>NC_000017.11:794141-945656 GCF_000001405.40 Homo sapiens
AATGTAAACACTGGAAAGTAATTTTTTTTTTTTTTTTTGAGACGGAATCTCACTCTGTCGCCCAGGCTGGAGTGCAGTGGCGCGATCTCGGCTCACTGCAAGCTCTGCCTCCCGGGTTCCCGCCATTCTCCTGCCTCAGCCTCCCGAGTAGCACCTGCCACCAAGCCTGGCTAATTTTGTGTGTTTTTTTAGTGAAGAAAGGATTTCACCGTGTTAGCCAGGACGGTCTCGATCTCCTGACCTTGTGATCCGCCGCCTTGGCCTCCCAAAGTGCTGGGATTACAGGCGTGAGCCACTGCGCCCGGCTAATTTTTTGTATTTTTAGTAGAGACGGGGTTTCACCATGTTAGCCAGGATGGTCTTGATCTCCTGACCTCGTGATCCACCCGCCTCGGCCTCCCAAAGTGCTGGGATTACAGGCGTGAGCCACAGTGCCCGGCCAACACTGACAAGTAATTCTAAGCCCATTTTATCCTGGGTGTGAGAGGGAAAAGAAATTTACATCCCTTTGCTTTAGAGTCCGTGGCTTATATGCCACGGTGCCTTCAGTTCACTTTATATATTCATGGGTATAATTTAGTAGGGACGAGGGAGGGTGCAGGAGGGAGGCAAATTGTCCTTTCTTCAGTGAATACAGGGGAACAGATGGTTGTTATTTGCTGAGTGATTCTGGAAAATCACTACCTTGAATTCTCAGTTTTGAGTCTGACATTTGTTCTGTCACCATTTCCCCAGTAAACAGGAATAAAAAACGAGCCACATTTGACAAGGAAAACACTGCTTGGCCGAGAGACAAACATTGTCAGGATGTTGGCCACGCTCCCGCGCCTTTGTGTGGTGGCGTAGCTGTCACAGTGGCGTCTGCCAGGAGGTGGCAGGCGACACCTCCAAAACCACCCCAGTGCTGAAGGGCGGGGCTGCGATTTTTTCCTGGATTTAAATCGTTGAAAAGGGAGGAAAAGAGGATGGAGTGAAGTCTCCCTCCACCAGAGAGCATTTTGCAAGCTGTCTGTGCTCCGGGGTGTTAAAGCCGGAGACCCATCCAGATTGTCCCAGACCACCTCAGAAGAAAGAACCCGGAGTACAGGAAGACATGGGAACAAAAACGGAGGCGAAAGAGGACGAACGGGAAATAGCAGGAAAGACCGTCACAACTTTTCCCTGTGACTGCAGCCTCTGAGAAAAGCAACTCTGGGCAAAGCATAGGTGTCCAGATGTGCCTGGAGCTCACGCTGGGTGCCCACCGGCTGGCCCTTCGGTTCCTGCTTCGGGGCAGAGAGCGTTGAAATCACTCTCCCCTCGCCCCAGCCGCTGGCTCCTGGCTGGGAGCCTGGTCATTAAGGTCCAGAGGAGAAACAGACCTCTGGGGACCTGCCGTTCACCTGGGACCTTCCGCTGCTTGCCCCGGGGTTGACAGCAACCCCAGATGTCCGCACCAGCCACGCTGGGCCACACTTAGCCCCACTTTTGCCATTCTACCACGCACAGCCCTCACACACACTCCCCATCCAAGGTTCCAGGGCTCTGGGCTGAAAATCACCAGCTGTACTGCAGGGCCTGGGGCTGCCCTCTTGACCAAGCTACCTCTCCCTCAGGAGCAGAGCTGACAGGCTCACCTGTTTTTAAGAAAACATGTTGCCACCTTAAAAATTCCATGATTGTGTTTCCTCTGTTTTCTTTTTTTTTTTTTAGATGGGGTTTTGCCACGTTGCCTAGGCTAGTCTTGAACTCCCGGCCTCAAGCTATCCTCCTGCTTCAGCCTCGAAAGTGCTGGGATGCCAGGCGTGAGCCCCTGCGCCCGCCATGTTTCCTGTTTTCATCAGTGCAGGGAGTGCACACATGTAATAAGCTAGGAGCCAAGTTAGTGGATGAGCTGGTTTATTGCTCAGGATGACTGAAGTCTCAACTACGGAACCATGTTACATTCGAGCAGCTGAGACAGCAGCTGAAGCCAGGTCCTCCCGAAGCTTCAGGAAGCCTGCTTGATGCTCCACGGCTGAGAGTGACAGAGAATCCAGAATAGCTTATGGATGGGTCAGTTCTCGTCTCACCACACTCCCAATATCCAGCTTCCTGGACTGTTGTGTAGGGAAGAGCCACTTTTTTCAGTTGAAGTCTGAGTTCTTATGGGCCATGACCAAGGCTGCTGCTTCCTCAAAAGGCACGAAGGGGGCCGCGTGCGGTGGCTCACGCCTGTAATCCCAGCACTTTGGGAGGCCAAGGCGGGCGGATCACGAGGTCAGGAGTTTGAGATCAGCCTGGCAAACATGGCGACACCCTGTCTCTACTAAAAATACAAACATTAGCCCGGCGTGGTGGCGTGTGCCTGTAGTCCCAGCTACTTGGGAGGCTGAGACAGGAGACTTGCTTGAATGTGGGAGGCGGAGGTTGCAGTGAGTCAGATCGTGCCACTGCACTCCAGCCTGGGTGACAAAAGTGAAACTCTTGTCTTTAAAAAAAAAAAAAAGAAATGCAGGAAGGGAACAGGGAACAAGGCTGGGGAGGGAGGAGCCGACGGCTGCAGCAAGCTCCGGCCTCAGCCTCCCTTCCCTGCTCCTCTGAGATGCCGAGGGCGGGGCGTACTCACTGCAAGCCTGCCAAGTAGGACCTCCATGTCCTCTGACATTCGAGAGATGGATTTTTTGGCCCTGAGATCACGTCTCCTACTGTGTCGTCATTCTAGCACCTGTGGGTGACTTCCTCATGTGAGTGAGGCATAAGCACCCGGAATCCGGACTGGAGGCCGTCTCTGCCTCTGGATTGCACACTGGCCTACAGACCTGGGGACAGAGTCTTTCACGAGTTGTGTATCGTTTAACAGAAACCCAACAGTTCCACCCAAACCTCCTGACACATTCTCGGGCTTGGGAAGTGTCCCAAAGCACCAAGGGGGTGAGACACACGCCTTGAAAAATGGCAGTAGGCATACTTACCTGTCTTCATGCGCTCACATACGAGGTGTACCTAGAACGCCCTCATGTTATATTCCCAGCACTAATGAAGCTACTGGTCAACAGCTATTTGTTCCCAAAGAATTTTCCCTTGCGCAGCCGCAGCCTGGAGGAAGCAGGGCGTGTGCCCTCGTCTGCTGGCGGCAGCAGTGAGGGGTGTAGCCAAGTGCCCACTTCTCTCATTCAGCTGCTTCGGGGCAAACTGGAAAGATCCTTTGAGCTCACAGCCCCCTGCTCAGTGCTACTCCTGAACCTGCGGGCCTGTGTGCACAGCCACCCACAGCGCGCACAACACATGGGCCTGCCCAGGGCAACGGCACCGTCAACAGCGTGTGCCCTCGCTCAGGGCCCTGCTGGTACTACGCTTCCCAGTGTGCAGGGTTCCCAGACGTGTGTCCTCTCATACATTGCATTTCCTCCCTAAGCTGCACGGGGCAACACCGTGTTAGGTCCCGCGCATCTGCTCCTGGGCCACATCCGGCTCCGTCTGTATTGTTCCTGAATTCAGTTTGCTGTCCTAGAACAAGGCAGCAGGAGGGGAGAACAGCTTTTCAGTGTCTTTAATTAGGCAACAGGAAAAAACAAAGTCTGGCTGAAAATTACTATTTGAAGCTTGGCCGATGCCAACACAGCACTCGCTCCCTGCGTTCTGGTAAGTGATGGCCATTGATTTCAAGGACGTACCAAGGGGCGAAAAGCAAGAGCAGGAAGTCACCTCGCTCTGGAAAAGAAGCTGGTTTTCATCTGCTGTATGTGCTGGTCCCAAACATACCCTTTTCTCTTTTTTTAGTATTTTTTTTCCCAATTAGGAATTCAATGTGGAAAACATACCCTTTTTCTTCAACAGGCTTTTAATGTTGGGAAGACAGGTTAAAAAAAACAACAACAACAGGCTGGCTGTGCCGGCGCACGCCTGGAATCCCAGCACTGTGGGAGGCCAAGGCAGGCAGATCACCTGAGGTCAGGAGTTCGAGACCAGCCTGGCCAACATGGCGAAACCCCGTCTCTACTAAAAATACAAAAATTAGTCAGGCGCGGTGGTGTCGCTTGTAATCTCAGCTACTTGGGAGACTGAGGCAGGAGAATGGCTTGAACCTGTGAGCTGGGATCGTGCCACTGCACTCTAGCCGGGGCGACAGAGCGAGACTCTGTCTCAAAAAAAAAAAAAAAAAAAAACCCTCATCGCTGTTGTGAGGATGAATGGATGGGATCTGGAAGTCACTGTGGTAAACACAAATCTGGGAACCACAGAGTGGCGTTTTCACAGCCGCCCCCAGCCTCCACCTGCAGGGCCTGGTTTTCCTGGCTGCCGGAGGAAGCCCTTGAATATGCCACAGCTGGTGCTGAACCTGCTTCCAATTAGCAACAAGAATCTGAAGGTGGAGCTGCTTGGCGGGGATTATCATGCCACCCACTTCGCCTGCATCTGTGGCCTTTACGACCTCTCACTATCGATCCCTGACACTCAGAAGTGATTCTTCCCTAACGGTTTCCCGCAAAGCAGTCACTGTATAAACCTGAACCTTTGGAGTAAACCTTCCCCACGGGTCTTAAGGAAGCTACAGACCCACTCTAAAAGGGGAATTCTGGTGTCAAGAATCCAGTTGCAATGACTTAGGGCAACCCCCTCGCTGGACTTTGTTCCTCCTGCCCCAAAGGTAAGCAGCTGCTAAGAGAACCCACCTTTCCTCCGAGGCCATCATGATACATGGAGAGAAATCCTGCCACCTCCCACATTCAGGTCGGCCACATTCATCCCACCCACCCCGACCCCTAAGGGAGACTCTGGCAGCGTTCCCAGAGAAGCCTTGAGCCTGGGACCTGCTGGGTTTAAGAGGCTCCCACACTTGGCCCATTCTTCACAAGGAGACCCGTGCGTGATTCCTCCTGTTCTCCCAACCAGCTTTCTCAGGCTTCAGAGGACTCGGCTCCCCTGGAGGGAGGAAATGGGCAAGAATGTCCACAGCAAGGTACGCGATCTGAGGATTCACCCTCCGTCCAGGGCCAAGTCAAACCAGGAGAGACGGTGGCCAGGGCTGCAGGAGGGATCTGCCTCTGCCACGGTCATCCAAATGAGCTTCCTGGCTGCCGGAAGCCAAGAGGATGTGACAGATGCTACATCCTGGGGGTCTCAAAACTCCTGGGACTCAGCTCCCAGCTACCAGGTATCCTCCACTGCCCACCCCGATAGAGCACAGGACCACAAGCAAAAACAACTTTTGTGATCAAGGACAGCAGAGGCCCAGGGTGGATGAGGTCCAGAGATGCCTGCTTTATTTCCTACGGGGTGATCGCATTTCAGGCTGGTAACATCACATAACAAGTCTAATCGCCAACTAGTTGTACGCCTCTGAACTACAAGTCAACAATCCAATTCAGCAAGGAACAACAGTGTCAACAGCTCATTAGCGGGTGGGGACCGGATTTTCCAAATCAATGGTCTTGGCTGGCAGAGTGCTGAGTGGGGCCTGAGTGAATGAGGCTAAAACGCTTGGCCGAAGCCGTCCATCCCCAATCCTGAGAACAGAGTTGTCTGTTTCTCTTTCGGGGGTCAGGTCAGCCCAAGTAAGAGGCCAACAACCTACCTGGGCCGATACAAGGCGACACAAGGCCCACCCGTGGCTGACGCGCCCTCCACCCTCACTCCATCCCGGGGCACAGCTCCTTCCGCTGGTGCTTAGGAAAAGGCGAGGCTTCTGGTAATTTCTCATCTTTGTAGTTCTGCTTTGAAAAGAAAAGGGGGCCGGGCACGGCGGCTCACGCCTGTAATCCCAGCACTTTGGGAGGCCGAGGCGGGTGGATCACCTGAGGTCAGGAGTTCGAGACCAGCCTGGCCAACATGGTGAAACCCCATCTCTACTAAAAATACAAAAATTAGCCAGGTACGGTGGCGGGTGCCTGTAATCCCAGCTACTCGGGAGGCTGAGGCAGGAGAATCACTTGAACCTTGGGGGCGGAGGTTGAAGTGAGCCAAGATGGTGCCACTGCACTCCAGCCTGGGCGACAGAGCAAGACTCCATCTCAAAAAAAAGAAAATAAAAGGGAATGGCAGGGGTGATCGAACGTGGGTGTGGGCACCTCAGCAGAGATCAGGGGCCTTGGGCACAGAGCTGGGTGGAGCGAGAGGTCCGTGCTGGTGCAGAGGTGCTCCTCCTAGGACTCAGGGCTAAGTTTCTTGGGAAGATGTCCAAAGAGAAGGATTCGTTAACAGAATTTCAGGATCGTGGGAGCTGTTTGTATGATATGAACCATTACCTTAGCTACATTTTTCTTCTCACCCAAAAAACCTCTACAAGCTTCCTTTTGCATTTGGAGATCCCCTGCCTGAGAACACAAGAGTGGGCTGCTTTTCTCTCAGACCGAGGAAGACTGTGTTGCTTAGAAAAGGACGTCCTCACCCGCAGCTCTAAGCGGAGGCCCTTTCTCAGCTCAGCCTCCACGCAGGTGTCACCCGGCGGTTCCCCTCTGGCCGTCCGGGGCCGTGTGTGCCGACGTCAGAGTCAGAGCCCGAGCGGGACCCACCGGCCCTCCACGCTCACTCTGCCCAGGACACCCTGGCAGATCCTTCACCAAAAGCTAGTGACTTTGCGAAAGCCATGCAGCCCCGCTCTGGCCGGGCCCCCGGCCATCCCGTGCTCCCAAACAGAGTCTCCAAACACGGTGGACTCTGCCGCTGCTGATTCCACACCCCAGGGTGCTGGCTGAGGAGTTTACTGCAGAAACAAGGCACCACAGAGAGGCTGGACACTTGGGTGGTGGGATTCGGGGCACGCTGGGTAAGTCCAAGGGCGGAAGGAAGGAGGGGGAGGAGGAGAAGGCTGAGTTTTAAATAACGTCTCAGGAGGCCGGAGCCACGCTAGATGGGCTCCGGTTTGAGCTTCTCTGCTAGGAAGTCATTCACAAAGGCCTCCACGATGGCGGGGGTGATCTCCTCCACGTCCATCACGTACTTGGCCCGGGCTGACATGTCCAGGATGGTGAGCAAAGGGGCAGCCTCAGGCAGGTTGGTGTAATCTCGCAGGGAGTCAGTCATGTCATCCTGAAGCCGTCAGGAGGGAGAGAAAACCAAGAAGTTTTAAAGAAAGGAGGGGGAGAGTCCCCTGGGCCCAGTCTCCCCAGGTGTGGTAGCTCCCGCACCCTGAAGAGCCGGCGTTTCCCAAGCAGAGGGCTCCCAGCCTGGGAAGGAGGGAACCCTGCCCTGCCTTCCGGAGGAAGGGGCTGCTTTGTAAAATTCTCTCTTTGCATCCGCCCTGCAAACCACTAGGTAAGTCGTCTGTATTTAATTATTTATGTATTTATTAGCATCAACACCATTTTAATACGTCCTCAGCATTTTAGAAATGTCACATTCTTTTTTTTTTTTTTTTTTTTGAGATGGAGTCTCGCTCTGTCACCCAGGCTGGAGTGCAGTGGCACGATCTCGGCTCACTGCAAGCTCCACCTCCCGGGTTTAAGCAATTCTCCTGCCTCAGCCTCCTGAGTAGCTGGGACTACAGGCGCCCACCACGCCCGGCTAATTTTTTACATTTTTAGTAGAGACGGGGTTTCACCATGTTGGTCAGGCTGGTCTCCAACTCCTGACCTCAGGTGATCCGCCTACCTTGGCCTCCCAAAGTGCTAGGATTACAGGCGTCAGCCACCGTGCCAGTCTAGAAATGTCATAGCCTCTGATTGTTTATTTTTGTAACCAACTGTCAATGATTTGCAGCCCCACTGTGGGTTATCTGAGGCCAATCTGGACTTCAACTCTGGAATGTTTTTAAACAGAGACAGCTCGCTGTGTTCCAACTCCCACCCCTGTGGTTTCAGGCAGGACAGGAGCTGCACAGCCAGCCAGTTCAGAAGACAGCGCTGCTTAAGCACTGTGGAAGCTTACGCTGCCTCACTACTTATCTGAGAAAGAAGCTGGCACTTTATCCTACATTCCCAGCAGCTGTCCTGGTGAATTTCCCTAATAGCAGACATAGCCTCATGCAGACACCAAGGCAAACACAGAAATCCAAAGACAAGGAGAAAGGATTTGTAAGGGAGCTACTTTTTTTTTTTGGAGATAGAGTCTCTTTCTGTTGCCCCAGCTGGAGTGAAGTGGCGCAGTCATAGCTCACTGCAGCCTCCACCTCCTGGGCTCAAGCAATCCTCCCACCTCAGCCTCCTGAGTAGCTGGGACTCTAGCCATGCAGCACCATGCCTGGCTAATTTTTGTACATTTTTTGGAGACACAAAAGTCCAGCCCAGCCAGACGGGAGCCAGCAAACTGCCTTGGAGCAGCCCCTCGTCCACTCTGAACCTTGCCTCCCTCCCCTGTGAAACAGGACAGCGACTACGTTCCCAGCCAGAGAGCCAGGAGCGAAGGAGACAGCCCAGGTGAAATATGCGGCTCTGTGCCTGGCGTACAGAAAACCTGCAAATGCTCCTTCCAGACTTGACACCTCTCAAGGCCGCCCCCGCCCGTGCCCGGCCCCTGCTGTGCTGCAGCCATCTTTTCTCAGAGCCATTCTGCAGGGGTTGGAGTCACTGCATGCCGCGCAGCCTCCCTGGGGCTGGGCTTGGTGTGCAGTGGCCAGTGCCACCCCGAGGCAGGGCCTGTGAACCTCTTTGCTCCCCTCCACCCCCGGGCTGAGCAGGTGACTGGAGCCGCCTGGGAAGGACCCAGGTGCTGGGCTGGGCAGGGCCGGGGGCTGAGGTGATGAATGGGTGGCACAGGGTGTCTGGCTGCCGCCTGCCTCCTCCGTGCCTCTCCTGGGATCCAAACACAGCGTGAAATCAGCACAGGGCTCTGACCAACTGGAGGTACAGATGGGTGGATGGAGGGCAGGGGGCGGCCTCCAAAACTGTCTGTCAGTCAGTGGGGTGGGGTGGGGTGGGGAGGTGGCAGCGCAGGCATGGAGGAGGCTCCTGGGTTGGAGGAGCTCAAGAATGAGAGCCTGCACCTGTGCTGAGTCGCGGAGACGCCCGTCTGCAGGGTGCAGGGTGCAGGGTTCCAGGCCCTGGATAACTGGGTACCTGCGGGAGGGCGCTCTGCTGAAAGCCCCACTTTCCCACCCTGTGAAGAGTCTCCTGCCTGGTCCAGCCCCGCTGGAGACCTCAAAGGGACAGCCTGGGTGAAACAGACGGGGAGCGGCAGCAATTTCCAACCTCAGCACTCACCGGGCCGGCTGGGTGACCGCAGGTATAAGCAGTAGCCCCAGCCAGGATCCCTCTGATGAGATCGGCCCACTGCAGCCAGCGCGGAGGCACGAACCCAGCATTTTGTAAAGACTCAAGGGCCTGGTTGTGACCCAGGAGGTGTGGATCACACTTTGCAGCCACGGCCACTCTCCCCAGCCGCTCAGGCGGGAAGCAGCCTGGGGACGGCTCCCTGCTGACCTGAGGCTGCCGAGCATGGACGGGAAGAGGAAGCAGCAGGGGAGGGAATGGTTTTCCATGGCGAATGGCTACCTTTCCTTGCCACATTTGTCTGTGGGCTCTCTCAGAAGCACAGGCAGCCCTGACCCTGGGGTCCTTTCAGGCAACCCTGGGGCCAGGATCAGTCCTGTGCCAGAAGTCCCAGCTGAGCCAGCCCTGGGCCAAGCCTCTCCTCCGCACTCACCTCCCCGGCTACGAAGAACAGAAGGGGTGCCTCCTCCTCTTTGGCTTTGTACTTGGCAATGATTTTCTCAGCTATCGGCTGAATCAGCTGCTTGGCCGCCTCGGACTCTCCGTCATCCTCAGAATCTGTGATTGGGTCGGGGGTAGAAAAAGACGGGGAGAAAAAGCACTGGCTTGTCAAACAGAGCGGCACCCGCCGAGGGGGCCTGAGCTGCAGAAACGCCCGCCTGAGCGGCCCCTGAACGGAAATGAACTTCCCCTTGGATGCAGGTCTTGCTCCCCGCATGCATGGGTGTGTGTGCACATGCGTCCCAGCAGCAAAGCTCACAGTGCTCTCCTGCACCGGGCTCCCCAGGAGGAACCTGCCTCACTGAGCAGCTCTGCTCTCCCAGGTAGACAGTCTTCCCATTGAATTCCTCACAAACCCGCCTGGGAGGCTGAGCTTCCCCTAAGCCAGGACCTGAGGCGCCTGCTAGTGTTTCTCTCAGCCACAGAATGAGAAGCCATGACCTCCGACCTCCGACTTCCCAGTGAAAATGGCAGAAGAACTGGTGGTGAGCGGGAGGGGGTGAGGACTGTGGTCTGGTCAGCGGCTTTTTTTTTTTTTTTTTTTTTTTTTTGAGACAGAGTCTCGCTCTGTTGCCCAGGCTGGAGTGCAGTGGTGCCATCTGGGCTCACTACAACTTCTGCCTCCCCGGTTCAAGCGATTCTCGTGCCTCAGCCTCCCGAGTAGCTGGGATTACAGGCGTGAGCCACCACACCCAGGCTCGTACAGTGATTTTGAGTTGTTGGAGGGGAGCCACAAGTCCAAGGCAGAGGGCCAGGTTTTGCAAAAGGAACCAGGGTCATCCCATCAGACTGCAGGGAGCCTGGCATGGATGCGCCTGTGTCCCCCTGGCCCGGCTGGGCAGTTACCCACGGAGCTCAGACTGGGTGAGATGGGAGACGGGGAGGTGCAAGCGAGGACAAAGGAGCCAAGGCAGCCACCGGGCTGGAGCAGCTCTTCAGAGCACAGAGGATCCGCAGAAGCAGCCTTGGTGAGCCTCGGCCAGAGGGGCCCAGCCCCTGCAGCTGCCGTGTGTGCCACCCGCCCTTTCCAACAATGGGTCTGCGCATGGGGGCCCCGAGGGCATCCTCCCGGCCTGACCTATTCTGCCCAGCTGGCAGCTGGGGAGCAGCTAGGAGGGAAAGTGCAGCTGCAGCTCCCACAGGGGCCAGCCATGAATAAATCATTGGGGTCAAAAGCAAGGCTTCAGGGAGAGACAAAGGCCCAGGCTTGCACTGCTGGTGACAGAGAGAAGCGGCAGGGACAGGCTCCTCCCAAGTGAGGCCCCTCCTGTCCCGCCCCCCAGCCACCCCTCGCCCCCTGCCCCCGTGAGCTTCATACCTACAAAAAGGACGAGGCAGGGGCCCTCGTTAAGCTGCGCGGCGTTGGAGTCGGAGAGCTCCAGCACGGGCTTGGGGTGCCAGGGGAACTCCCGGCAGTCCTCGTCGTTCAGCACCTCCACCCGCCCCTGCCGCGTGATCACCTCGCCCTGCGGGTCCAGCATGATGAGCGTGGGGATGCCTGCAGGGAAGAGGGGGTGCTTGGCCGCTGGCCCGGGAGATGCTGGCCCTGCCTGGCAGGAGGCTCGCGGGGTCCAGCCCGGGGTCCCCCCGACCGTGGTGGAGCCCACCGAGGACCTGGTACAGGCTCACAATGAAGAGGCCAGGTCTAAAGTCACAAAGCCTGGGGAGAATCCAGGCCTGGCCAGGGGGAGCCATGGAACCCCCTCGGGTCAGCCTGTAACCTGTCACCTTCGCCTTTCAGGGCCTCAGGATCCTCAGCTGCAGCCTGATGAGTGTGTTGTCGTTCCTACCTTATTCCGCTACAGAAAGATCAATGAGTTCATGCGGTTAAAGAACTTAGAGTTTGGGAGGCTGAGGTGGATGGATCACTTGAGGTCAGGAGTTGGAGACCAGCCTGGCCAACATGGTGAAACCCCCGTCTCTACTAAAAATACAAAAACTAGCTGGGCGTGGTGGCGGGCGCCTGTAGTCCCAGCTACTCGGGAGGCTGAGGCAGGAGAATCGCTCGAACTCGGGAGGTGGAGGTTGCAGTGAGCCAGGATTGCACCACTGCACTCCAGCCTGGACAACAGAGCAAGATTCTGTCTCTAAACAAATAAATAAATAAATAAGAACTTAGCACAGGGTCATGGCGCATCGGAGCAATCACTCACTGCTGGTCTCCCAAAGACACAGAAGACCTTCCCCAGCTGCTGGGGGTCAAACACGGAACAGGCAGTGCAGTGACCACACGGCGGACTTGCTGTGGCCACCGATGCAAGACGGGTCCTCGCCCGGCCACAGTGAGCGCAGGGCCAGTGCCGCCGGGGGGAACCTGAGGCTGGCCGCACCGGAGACTCGAAGAGGAGGACAGCTGACTGCAGCCCCCGCCGTCTGCACCCCAGCCCTCCCCGCTCCCCAGGGCTGCAGCCCCCGCCGTCTGCACCCCAGCACAACCCCCTCCCCAGGGCTGCAGCCCCCGCCGTCTGCACCCCAGCACAACCCCCTCCCCAGGGCTGCAGCCCCCGCCGTCTGCACCCCAGCTCCCCCCTTCCCCAGGGCTGCAGCCCCCGCCGTCTGCACCCCAGCTCCCCCCTTCCCCAGGGCTGGGGAAGAAAAGTAACAGAAAGCTTGCCTGCAAACCAGAAACCGCGCAACCCCAGCCAAAAAGCCTTCAATGAAAACTCAGAGAAAGCCCCACTCTGGTCAAGGTGCACGTGGGTTTTCTGTGTCTCTGTTCTTTTTACCCCACTCCCCGCAGCCTCTCCTCCAGCCAGGGCTACAGGCCCCCACCCACGGCCCACCCTTCGGGGACCTTTGTCTCTCCACTGGCAGCCGCTCCCCCCACACCCTGCACGTTCCAGACGCCTCTCCTCCTGGGCTGCCCAGAGCCTGAATTTTATGTGAAAGTCAGAGCAATTTAATATTTATAGATTCCCAAGGATTCGGTCAGTAATTTGCTCCGCTGACATTCTCCTTCCCTGTCGGGGGGATGCCGAGGTACCAGACATATGGCCCTCGTGTTTCGTACCCTGCTGCGGCCACCAGCACCGCGGGCGTGCCTGCCTTCGAAAGGAATCAACGAATCCATTATGTTCACACCTATGAGACAAAGTGGCTGATGTATCAGGGAGTGGGTCCAGAGAGAACAGGCTCTTGAGAACAGCCACTCCGACATCACACACACTCACATACACACACACACACACACACACACACGCACGCGCCCACACACACATGCGGCCGGCTCTCACTGGGGATTTTCGGGTGTGCTCAGCGTGGACAGTGCCCGAGGAGCTGTGTGTGCTGCCGCACAAGAAACCTGGGCATTTCCAGCCACATCCTCAGGCTGCATTTTATCCCCTGAGGCCGGGGTCCATGCCCGCTGTGTCCATCCATGAGGCTCGGGGGCTGGTCTCGAGGCTGCAGCCCAAAGGGAATCCGGGCCAGGGACCACCACAGGGACAGCTGGCCGCACAGGAGCCCCTCCACATCACCACACACCCTTCTCAAAATCCCCCCGGCAAGGTCCTTCCTCAGAGTAGGGTGTTTCTGAAATTGGGCAATTATGAGCACTGGGGTAAACCAGAGCCCCTGCTGCTGTGACAGGCCCCGCGGCCAGCCTGCGTGTGCCCCGGCGTGGGATGCCGAGTGGGTCTGTGGAAGAGAGGCAGGCACGGGGGACGGGGAGGGAGGAGAAGCCAACCTGAAGGCAAAGCTGCCCATTTCCCGGCTCAGCGCCTGGGGCTCTCCGAGGGCCTCCTCCAAGCGGCCTTTTTCCTGACTGTGGCTGCAGCCTCTTTTGAGTCCGTGCCTGCGGGGCCCAGGACAGCATGGCGAGGACACGGAGCCCCCACCTGGCTTCTGAGGAGCACTCAGGGGCTTCCCCGAGGAACGGCTCCTCCTAAGACGAGGTGTGCCGGGACGGGCCGTGTTGGGCCGCGTGACTGTCTGCATAAGCAGAAACCAACTTGGGCCCAAGGAAGCCACTCGTGTTCGGCCCCTGCACGGGGGAAAGCACCCATGTCTGCTGTGCCAGGCTGCCTCCCCTCAGCTGGTCCTGACGAGCTTGGCCTACAGCCATGACGAGTGCACATCCCTCCAAAGGTGAACCAGGGGCGGGAAACGGAACTGGCTTCTGCGGCCGTCTGCCCTGTGCTAGGCACGGCACAGATGGCACTGGCTAATCCTTATCACAGATGGGGCGGGCAGCATCAGGATCCCCCTAACAGATGGTCAAGGTGACCCCCAGGTCACCCAGCCAGGCAGTGGTTACAGTAGGGATGGGGGTCACCCAGCCAGGCAGTGGTTACACTGGGGACAGGACCCTGATCCACCTGTTGCAGAAGCTGCTGCTCTTCCTGCCAGGCCGTGGACGCTTCTGGGGTCCTCACAGCACCTGCGATGGGGACTGTCTTAACCAGGGCGGGGAAGTCCTGTACCTGCAGCTTTCTGCACCACCCACCTCCCTCTGCTCCTGGGGGAGAAGGCTGAGACCACAGCCACCATTTCCCTTTCTCCCCCTTCACACACGCCCTGTTCCCCCAGCCCTTGAAGCAGGTTCTCTGAAATACACATTTTTTTTTTTTTTTTAGACGCAGTCTCCCTCTGCTGCCCAGGCTGGAGTGCAGTGGCGCGATCTCGGCTCACTGCAAGCTCCACCTCCCGGGTTCAAGCGATTCTCCTGCCTCAGCCTCCCAAGTAGCTGGGGTTACAGGTACACACCACCACACCCAGATAATTTTTAGTAGAAACGGGGTTTCCCCATGTTGGCCAGGATGGTCTCGAACTCCCGACCTCAGGTGATCCGCCCACCTCGGCCTCCCAAAGTGCTGAGATAACAGGTGTGAACCACCATGCCCGGCCAGTGTAAAACACTTATTAGCAGAGTACCTGGTATATTGATATTGTAAGTATTCTATAAGTATTGGCTATTATTATAAACCAGTTTTTTTTTTTTTTTTGAGACAGAGTCTCACTCTGTTGCCCAGGCTGGAATGCAATGGTGCGATCTCAGCTCCCTGCAGCCTCCGCCTCCTGGGTTCAAGTGATTATCTTGCTTCAGCTTCCCCAGTAGCTGGGATTACAGGCACCCGCCACCACACCTGGCTCATTTTTTTAATTTTTTAGTAGAGACGGGGTTTCACCATGTTGGCCAAGCTGGTCTCAAACTCCTGACCTCAAGTGATCTGCCCGCCTCGGCCTCCCAAACTGCTGGGATTACAGGTGTGAGGCACCGCACCCAGCCATTATATTCTTTTAATCACCCCTAAACTGATTATTTGGCTCGTGAGAAGGCAGACATACGGAAAACTGGGAGCTTGCTCTAGTGAGATCAACAGAGTCCTCCGTGATGGGCTGGAAGAAGTTAGCTAAAGAAGCAGAAAGCAGAGACACTGTCAAGACCGTGGTGAGGGTTCCGGCAACAGTGTGATGTCTGCCAAGGGTGGGGTTGGCGTGCTTTTGCTTCCACCATCCCAAGCTACACTCCTGGGCTTGGAACACGGACTCTAAGTTCCTAGAGAGGGCGCAGCCCTGAGTCCCCTGCTCTGTGACATGAGTGGCGCCTACAGACCCCTTTCACCGTCTCCCTCAAAACACACAGAAGAGTCAACTCCAAACTCTCTTCTCCAAGGAGGAGCCTAGTTGCAAGTATTTAAAACCATCTCAAAGCCAGGTGCGCCGAGACTGTCCCACGGTTTAGTCTGGTGACTTTTCCACTGCCAACGAGACACGGAGTTTTGAAGCAGGTGGGGGCTGGGGCAAGGAAGCTGAAGGGGTCCAGGACCCTGGGAGGCAGAGAGGAGCGGGCAGGGCTGTGACCCAGCCTTCTCTGCATCTGGATGGCAACGTGATCTGAGGCAGCCAGGAGGAATTACCCAAAGATTGCTGGGAGCTGGGAGGAGCAATGGAAGGAAAAGCAGGTTCTAGGACAGAAAGAGCTGGTGAGGACGCACCAGCAGGCAAAATATTAAGTGATCATGAAAATGGTCCTTACAAAGACCATAGCGACACGGCAAATTTTTGCGCCACACTGTTTAGTAAAAACTGCCGAGCGCACAGTGCCGTGTGCATGTGACGAGTCCGTGTGAGCGGCGGGCACCTTACGAGCCAGTGCGAGCGGCGGGCACCTTACGAGTCAGTGTGAGTGGCGTGTACGTTAAGAGTCCCTGTGAGTGCCGTGCACGTTAAGAGTCCGTGTGAGTGGCGTGTACGTTACGAGTCTGTGTGAGTGGCGTGTACGTTACGAGTCTGTGAGTGGCGTGTACGTTACGAGTCTGTGAGTGGCGTGCACGTTAAGAGTCCGTGTGAGTGGCGTGCACGTTACGAGTCCCTGTGAGTGGCGTGCACGTTACGAGTCCGTGTGAGTGGCGTGCACGTTACGAGTCCGTGTGAGTGGCGTGCACGTTACGAGTCTGTGACTGGCGTGCACGTTACGAGTCTGTGACTGGCGTGCATGTTACGAGTCTGTGAGTGGCGTGCACGTTACGAGTCCGTGTGAGTGGCGTGCACGTTACGAGTCTGTGAGTGGCGTGCACGTTACGAGTCTGTGAGTGGCGTGCACGTTACGAGTCTGTGAGTGGTGTGCACGTTACGAGTGCATGTGAGTGGCGTGTACGTTAAGAGTCCGTGTGAGTTGCTGCTGAGGCAGGAATGTGGGTGGGATGACAGCGAGATATCTATGTCTAGTTACGTTTTCTTTAACGGCAGCCTATTTAGCTCGTTAACATCAGATGAAAATCAGAACTGAAAGGCCGTGGGGGTGAGATGGGATGACAAACACCAACCAATGCCCAGAATCTGTTCCTCGGATCCTTCCGTTCCTCCCTCCTCCCGGCTCCCCCAAAACACTCCCCTGCTTAGAGAGTTAAGGAAAGGAGCCGGGCACGGTGGCTCACACCTGTAATCCTGGCACTTTGGAAGCCTGAGGCAGGTGGATCCCCTGAGGTCAGGAGGTGGAGACCAGCCTGACCAACATGGTGAAACCCCGTCTCTACTAAAAATACAAAATTAGCTGGGCGTGGTAGCGCACCCCTGTACTCCCAGCTACTCAGGAGGCTGAAGCAGGAGAATCGCTTGAACGCGGGAGGCAGAGCTTGCAGTGAGCGGAGATCTTGCCACTGCACTCCAGCCTGGGCGACAGAGCGAGACTCTGCCTCAAAAAAAAAAAATTAGACAAAACACATAAAAGAGAACTGCAAAACCGCTCTAAAGGTCTCGAGGCAGCCCCTCTTCTGGTTGAAACATGCAATCTCCAAATGTTTCATTTTTATATAAACAGATTCTGCCTCAAATCCATTTTTTTGAAAGGGGCAAAGGAAGAGAGTCAAGGAAGGGAACGGGATGAGGAAGGAGGGAAGCAGAAGAGGAAGAAAGAAGGAGGCGGAGAAGGCAGAGCGGGAGGAGGTGGCACAGGAGGGAAGAAGGAAAACAGAGAAGAGGATTCAACGCTGGAGGAGCAAAGGGCCCTCACCCCGGCCGCCCGGCACCTCTAGCTGCTTCCGCATCTGCTCCAGGCCCTGCACAGCCCTCAGGCCGTCCGCCCTCCCTGAAGGTTGGGCCACGGGAGCCAAACCAGACAGGGCCCCTGGCCTAAGAGAGAAGGGGCTGTAAACCTCCCTGCAAAGAGTGCCGTGCTCCCTGGCAGCCGAGGATGACTCAGACAACTGCTAACGGGGTCTGTCTTCTGCCAGGTGTGTTGACAACGGTCTCCTTAGAAAAAGAATTTTCAGCACTGCACACGGCTGCACATTCCCCAGGCTGCGTAAAGCCCCGGGGTTGGGGGGGGGGCAGCACTCTGGAAGCCAGTTATTCCCACGAGACCAGGAGGTGGGGGGACGCCAAATGCCAGGTCCTTGGTGAGCCCAGTGGTCCTGTGGAGATGGGTCACACAGCCCGGCTCAGCCCAGGGCACCGAAGGAAGCCGGTGGCCAGCCTGTCAGCGGCAGTGGGACTTTGGCCAGGCCGGCCTGGGGCCCAAACTCATCATCAAGACCACGGCAGAGGCCGCCACCCTGTGAGATGGACAGCTCAAGGGCACAGCCTCGAGGCCCCGACTCCCCCACCCGTACCGCCCCCCAGACACCTCAACGCACTGGCAGCATTTGGCAGGCCCCCTTCACTCGGCAGGGTGATTCTCAAAACCCCAAGATGCTTATAGGACTCCGGGTTGTGCGGTTACCCAGTTCTGCTTTTTTTTTTTTTTTTTTTTTTTTTGAGACGGAGTCTCGCTCTGTCGCCCAGGCTGGAGTGCAGTGGCAAGATCTCGGCTCACTGCAAGCTCCGTCTCCCGGGTTCACGCCATTCTCCTGCCTCAGCCTCCCGAGTAGCTGGGACTACAGGCGCCCGTCACCACGCCTGGCTAATTTTTTGTATTTTTAATAGAGACGGGGTTTCACCGTGTTAGCCAGGACGGTCTCGATCTCCTGACCTCGTGATCCGCCCGCCTCGGCCTCCCAAAGTGCTGGGATTACAGGCGTGAGCCACTGCGCGTGGCCTGGGTTACCCATTTTCACCCGAGCCTGTCAGAACACTCTGCCCTCACATGACTCAATCCACAAAATGACCAGCAGATCAAGCCACTGCCCCAGTGTAAGTCCAAAGACAGGCCAGGTGGAGGCGGCTCCCTTTGGGTGCAGGCAGGGGGTGTACCTGGCACTGCTCTGTGAAGGAATCTTTATACAAGCTCTTCAGCGGGAGAGAAACAAGTGAGATGGGACTGAGACCCCAGGGCACAGACAGACTCAAACAGGGAGCAGGACGTCCCCAGAGAAGCCCCACAGGATGTGCAGACCAGACACTCCAACAGCCAGGACCCTGCAGAGCGAGTGTGTGTGTGAGTCTGTGTGTGCACGTGTGTGTGATGGCGCGAGTGTGCATTGTGTGAGTGTAGGTGAGTGTAGGTGTGTGTGAGTGTGCATGTGTGTGACTGTAGGTGTGTGTGAGTGTAGGTGTGTGCACATATGAATGTAGGTGTTTGCATGTGAGTGTAGGGTGTGTGAGTGTAGGGTGCGTGAGTGAGAGTGTGCATATGTGTGAGTGTAGGTGTGTGCATGTGTGTAGGTGTGTGTGCGTGAGTGTAGGTGTGTGTGCGAGTGTGCATGTGTGAGTGTAGGTGTGTGCATGTGTGTAGGTGTGTGTGGGTGTGTGCGCACATGTGAATGTAGGTGTGTGCATGTGTGACTGTAGGTGTGTGCGTGTGTGAGTGTGCATATGTGTGAGTGTAGGTGTGCATGTTTGTAGGTGTGTGTGCACATGTGAATGTAGGTGTTTGCATGTGTGTAGGTTGTGTGCACGCGTGTGTGAATGTGTGAGCGTGTGTGTGCGTGTGTTCACACACCTGGAACACGTCCACTGAATGACACTGGAAGCCGTAACCACGGAATCACACAAAAGCTCAGAAATATTCAGAATTCAATCAAAAATACTGGTCAGAGTTTTGTGACGCTACAAAGCTTATGAACGAATGCACAGTTCCTTCAGAGGTATTTCGGCCCAGCCTGGCCACATTTAAATATCCTCAGAGGCAAAGAAAGGCAAACTCCCATCAAGGGATGGTGCAGTCTAGGGAGGGTGGCTGGCTTCTAAGACTAGAGAGAAGCCAGAACTGATACCAGTGAAACCAGGGACTGAGTGAGACGGGCTCTGAAGGAGAAACGGCCCCCGGCTTGGAGGACAAGGACAGGGCACCACAAATAGGGCCATCGACGCGGACGGAATGCCGCACGTGGGGCTCAGCCCAACCTCGAAGCGCTGAGAAGGCGCTTCCAAAGTGATATCCCTGGAATGATATAATGATTTCCTTAATACGTGAGCATCTTTCAAAACTAGGAGGATCTGGAATTAAGTTTAGAAGTATGAATCAAACTCATGCCACTGACGTTTCTGTGTGTCAAGAAGTGCATGCATATTTGGTATTTAACTTCAGCATTTTTTTTTTGTTTAAGAGACTACGGCCGGCCGGGCGCGGTGGCTCACGCCTGTAATCCCAGCACTTTGGGAGGCCAAGGCGGGCACATCACGAGGTCAGGAGTTTGAGACCAGCCTGGTCAAATGGAGAAACTCTGTCTCTACTAAAAATACAAAAATTAGCTGGGCGTAGTGGCAGGTGCCTATAATCCCAGCTACTCAGGAGGCTGAGGCAGGAAGATCGCTTGAACCCGGGAGGCAGAGGTTGCAGTGAGCCAAGATTGTGCCAATGTACTCCAGCCTCTGGGTAACAGAGCAAGACTCTGTCTAAAAAAAAAAAGAGCCGGGCACGGTGACTCATGCCTGTAATCCCAGCACTTTGGGAGGCCAAGGCAGGCAGATCACATGAGGTCAGGAGCTCAAGACCAGGCTGGCCAACATGGTGAAACCCTGTCTCTACTAAAAATACAAAAAGTTAGCCAGGTGTGGTGGTGGGTGCCTATAATCCCAGCTACTCCGGAGGCTGACGCAGGAGAACGGCGTGAACCCGGAAGGCAGATGTAGTGAGCAGAGATTGCGCCACTGCACTCCAGCCTGGGTGATAGAGTGAGACTCTGTCTCAAAAAAAAGAAAAGAAAAAAAGAAAAAAGGCTGTCCTAGGGTACCTTATTAGTTTCAGGTGACCCCCTGGCCTGAGCGTTGGCCACCAGCAATACCGGCAACCCACGGGCCCTCACATCCAGGAAGGAACTCCGTACCTCAGAGAGGAAGATTCTGCTCCACGGATGATGAGGTGCTGGGAAAGAAAATGCCTCTATGTGGAAAGGCCTCCTGACCCAATGGAGCAGCAGAGAGGGGGCGCGGCAGCAGCTCCACTCTAAGTGACAAGTGTCCGTCTTCCAGGCCCTCGTACGAAATGACACGTACTCGGACCAACACTGTCGTGTTCGTGAAGACGTCATCACACTCCGCTCCTCAGATATGCCCAACTGTCCATCTCATCCTGTCCACTCAAGGGCAGCACTGGGCCCCTCTCCTAGTGACTTCCCGTGGAGCTCAGTACGGAGAGTATGGGATGGTTAGCACGCACTCAATACATCAAATCCGGCCGGGCGCAGTGGCTCACGCCTGTAATCCCAGCACTTAGGGAGGAATTTCACTCTTGTCACCCAGGCTGGAGTGCAGTGGTGTGATCTCGGCTCACTACAACCTCCGCCTCCCAGGTTCAAGTGATTCTCCTGCCTCAGCCTCCCGAGTAGCTGGGATTATAGGTGACCACCACCACGCCTGGCTAATTTTTGTATTTTTAGTAGAGATGGGGTTTCGCCATGTTGGCCAGGCTGATCTCGAACTCCTGACCTCAGGTGATCCACCCACCTCGGCCTCCCAAAGTCCAGGGATTACAGGCGTGAGCCACCATGCCTAGGCAGTAGTTACAAATTCAGCTGAGTCTTCTAGGTGCTAAAGCAAAGAAAATAATTGTGGTTCATAATGAAATTCAAAGTATACAAAAGATAAAAACAAAAGCCTGCCACCCGGTAGGTTTTGAAGGCGATGAGGCACTCACAGTTCAGCTGACATCCATCCATATGATGAGGGCCAGTGTCCACTCTAGATCCCTAAGCTCTGTAGGTTTTGAAGGCGACAAGGCACCCACAGTTCAGCTGACTTCCATCTGTATGATGAGGGCGAGTGTCCACTCTAGATCCCTAAGCTCTGTAGGTTTTGAAGGCGACGAGGCACTCACAGTTCAGCTGACACCCATCCGTACGATGAGGGCGAGTGTCCACTCTAGATCCCTAAGCTCTGTAGGTTTTGAAGGCGATGAGGCACTCACAGTTCAGCTGACTTCCATCCGTATGATGAGGGCGAGTGTCCACTCTAGATCCCTAAGCTCTGTAGGTTTTGAAGGCGATGAGGCACTCACAGTTCAGCTGACTTCCATCCGTATGATGAGGGCGAGTGTCCACTCTAGATCCCTAAGCTCTGTAGGTTTTGAAGGCGATGAGGCACCCACAGTTCAGCTGACATCCATCCGTACAATGAGGGCCAGTGTCCACTCTAGATCCCTAAGCTCTGCAAAGCGCAGGGCCTGTTATCTGTTTTATTCAAGATAAAAACGTTCTTCTTGGCCTGAACGTTTAACGTGCCTCCGGATCATGTGTGAGGGGTGCTCCAAGACCCAGCCACGTCAAACAGAGTCACACTTTGTACACACCTGTGCACACACGTGCACACACAGAGGCCAGTAGGGAGGATAAGAGGGGCCTGAATGTGACCGGCGGGCCTTTGTTAGGGGAGTCGGAGGAAGACACACATCAGAGACCATCACCTCCTGGTGTATAAGGGGAACAGGGATTAGAAGAAACCCAGGATATCTCTGTATGGAGAAAGGATGGAAAATCCACAGCCATCAGGAGGGGCAGGACACGGCGCTCGGTAACGCTTGGGAGAGACCTGGGCCCTACGTAGCTGACTAGCATCTCACCTGTAGCCCCTCCAAGGGCCTCTGGTTGCAACTGGAAGCTGAGGCCGAAACCCCTTCCCACTGTCCAGTTACAATCAGGCAGTCACGTCGCTTTTAATTAACACAGAGTCGTTCTGGGGACGAAGACCTGAATCCCATGGATTAGAAGGACAAAGTACAACCCATGTATTTTTTTAAAGTGCAAAATGCTTACAGCCCCCCAGACCTTCACTGTCCCTGTCATGGTCTCTAAGGAGAGTGCCCTGTGAGGACCAGGCCAGGTCTATCCTGTGACGTTGCAGCCAAGATCCTTCTGCAAGAAAACGTGTCGGCCGGGCCTCTGCACGTGCGGTTCCGTCTGCCGGGACCTTCCCTCCACCATCTGCTTGGTCCGTTCCTACTTGGTTTCCAGATCCCCTGGGGCATCCTTGGTCTTCTCTGGTCTCCCCGACGAGGCCAAATCTCCCTACCCCAGCACTGGCGGCTTCGCATTCAAAGCACTCACAGTTCAACTGACATCCATCTGCACGATTAGGGTGAGTCTCCGCTCTAGACCTATACGCTCTGCAAAGGGCAGGACCTGTATCTGTTTTATTCAAGTCTGTGACTCCAATCCCAGGCAGAATGCAATGGCATCCAGTCAGCCCTCAGTAAAGACATTCACTCAGCAATGAACGAATAAATGAATTAAGAGATGGGAAGCCCTCCTGACCCCCACACAGTGGTAATTCAGCCAGCTATTCAGGACCACTGGCGTAGGGGCATCCCGAAACTTATCTCAACAAACACAGCTCCTACCCCCAGGCACGGGCACCTTAAGTGTCTCTGCAGAGGGCCAGGCAGGAGTAAGCGCTGACCTCCTTGGCATCTCCAACTTGGGGCCTTTTCTTCTGGTCCACTAGGCAACATCATGTCCCTCAACTTTTGTTTGGAAAGCAAACGCTTTCATTTATGCTGTTAACAGGAGGCAGCAGCACCCCCCGACACACCCCAAATTCCCCTAGGATTAACGAATGGATCTAGACTATTAATACTCCAAGTGTGGTCCATGGGCTGGCAACATCAGCACTGCCTGGAGGCTGCTCAGAAACAGTCTCTCAGCTCCCGCTTAGCCCCACCAAATCCAAATCTCCATTTTCAGATCTCCAGGTGATTCTCATATGTACTTGGGATTGAGAAGCACCAATCTAAAATTAAATATTATTTTTTTTAAAACTTCTGCTCCAAACAAACCCATATATGTATTCTAAATGGTGAAGAAAAAAGGTCAAAGAGCCTAATGAGGCCAGACGTGGTGGCTCACGCCTGTAATCCCAGCACTTTGGGAGGCCGAGGTGGGCGGATCACAAGGTCAAGAGATCGAGACCATCCTGGCCAACATGGTGAAACCCCATCTCTACTAAAAATACAAAAAATTTAGCCGGGCGTGTGGTGGGTGCCTGTGGTCCCAGCTACTGGGGAGGCTGAGGCAGGAGAATGGCGTGAACCCGGGAGGCGGAGCTTGCAGTGAACCAAGATTGCGCCACTGCACTCCAGCCAGGGCGACAGAGCAAGACTCCAATTCAGGAAAAAAAAAAAAAAAAAAGAGCCTGATGAGATGCCCCTCAGGCGCAGAACTTCTGGGTAAATCTGGATTTGTCTTTTTTTTCACTCTCTGTAACCCTAGGAGTGCTGAGAACTCAATTATTAGCTGTATCTGTTTACAGCTGACAAGCATCTGCCACTAATGATACAAAGAGAACGCGTTTAACTCAGACTGCCCAGTTACCTGCTTTGTGAAGAGAAAAACCTGGCTGGGTGAAGGCTGGGAAGGAGGTATTCACACGATAAAGAATAAAAATACATTCAGTCTCATTAACAATCATTATTTCCGGCTGGGTGCAGTGGCTCACGCCTGTCATCCCAGCACTTTGGGAGGCCGAGGCGGGTGGATCACTTGAGCCCATGAGTTCGAGACCAGCCTGGGCAACATGGCAAAACTTCATCTCTACTAAAAATACAAAAAAATGAGCAGGGAGTGGTGGTGTGCACCTGTAGTCCCAGCTACTCGGGAGGCTGAGGTGAGAGGATGGCTTGAGCCCTGGAGGCAGAGGTTGTGGTGAGCCGAGATCACGCCACTGCACTCCAGCCTGGGCGACACGGTGAGACCCTGACTTAAAAATATATATATAATTTCTGAAAAACACCATGATTAGTACTCTAAGTCCTAGTTTACAACACTCTCAGGAAATTGATTTTCTCACCGAGAAGGTGATACCCACTCAGCCCTCACTATCACGCCTCTTTACATACTTTACTTATTCATGCTCCCAACAATTCTCTGTGGCAAAGCTTTACCACCCCACTTTGCAGACAAGGAAACTGAGGCCCAAAGACTCTGAGTGATGAAACTGGAGATCACTCTCAAGTCTCTTTCACAGTAAACCTTTGGGATAAGATTCTGGCCAAGTCATTTGGGAGGCTGTGCTCCGTGTCCCAATCATATTAGAATCCACCATGGGCCGGGTGCAGTGGCTCACGCCTGTCATCCCAGCACTTTGGGAGGTCGAGGCGGGCAGATCACGAGGTCAAGAGATCGAGACCATCCTGGCCAACATGGTGAAACCCCATCTCTACTAAAAATACAAAAAATTTAGCCGGGCGTGTGGTGGGCGCCTGTAGTCCCAGCTACTGGGGAGGCTGAGGCAGGAGAATGGCGTGAACCCGGGAGGCGGAGCTTGCAGTGAGCGGAGATCGCACCACTGCACTCCAGCCTGGGCAACAGAGTGAGACTCCGTCTCAAAAAAAAAAAGAAATGCACCATGCTGGACAGTGAGAAGTAGCTGTCTTACTAAGACAGTATTTAGTAGTAGTATTTTTTGAGACAGAGTCTCCCTCTGTTGCCCAGGTTGGAGTGCAATAGCACAATCTCGGCTCACTGCAACCTCTGCCTCCTGGGTTCAAGCAATTCCCCTGCCTCAGCCTCCTGAGTAGCTGGTACTACAGGCACCCGCCACCACGCCCAGCTAATTTTTGTATTTTTAGTAGAGACCGGGTTTCACCGTGTTGTCCAAACTGGTCTCGAACTCCTGAGCTCAGGTGATCCACCTGCCTCAGCCTCCCAAAGTGCTGGGGTTACAGTGTGAGCTGCCATGCCCGGCCTGACAATACTTATTTTTTAAAAATGGCTTAGAATTCACACCATGAAAATTCTACACTGCTGAGAAACATGAAAGGCACATGAATATTCATGGAAATAATGATGCTCTTCTTCTTAAAGGAAAGCCAAAGACACGGTGAGCTCAGGTGAGCAGGTTTCCAGGAGCCACACGGAGCCGGGGCCTGGAGCGCCTACCTTGGATTCCGTACAGCCGGTTGAGGCGCGACCGCCGGGCCTCATCCGTGTAGGGGACGGCGAGCCAGGGCATCTCACTGAAGTACTGTTTGAAGGACTCCTCCGACCTACAGAGAGACACACGTGGCGGGCAAGGCTCAGTATCCCCACTGCACCAACGCTGAATCCTCCCACCTCTGCCGAGTTCTGCCCAGGGATTCTGCAGAAGCCGGGGTTTCTAACCACTGTGCTCCTTAGGCAACAGGCTATGGGAGTGTGTTATTCTACCCCGGCTGGTGTCCACCAAGAAGCAAATGCCTCCACACAGCAGGTGGGTGCCGGCTAAGACGCCAGCCCACTTCAGCAGCTCCCATCCAGGCAACGCAACTCAGGTCCAACTTTCCATTTCTCAGCACAGACAGGTCTTTCTTGCCTCAGAGCTCAGATGTGCACAGCCACTGCATACCCGCGGGAGTTCTAATTTGTGCACGGAACAGTGACTCATATGGGACCTCAAATTTAAACCAACCATATACCTATGATTCCCCATGTAAAAAACCCTAGGAAAGGCACACCTACTCAAGCGGCAGAAGCGGATCAGGGGATCCCAGGGCTGGGTTTATAGGTAGAGACAGACCCATGTGGGGCTGGGGTTTATGAGCGGAGACCGACCCAAGGAACCTACGGAGTGATGAAAATGTTCCGTGTCTTGTCTGTGATGATGGTGGTTACGTGGTACGTACATCAGTCAGCTGAACTGTGTACCTTTGTTCCGTGCCTTGTCTGTGATGATGGTGGTAACATGGTACGTACATTGGTCAGCTGAACTGTGTACCTTAAATGCATGCATTTTACAATATATACATTATGCCTCAATAAAGTTGATGCTTAAAACTTTAAAAAAGGGACTGTGGCCAGGCGTGGTGGCTCACCCCTGTAATCCCAGCACTTTGGGAGGCCAAGGCAGGTGAATCATGAGGTCAAGAGATCGAGACCGTCCTGGCTAACACGGTGAAACCCCATCTCTACTAAAAATACAAAAAAATTAGCTGGGCATGGTGGTGGGCGCCTGTAGTCCCAGCTACTTGGGAGGCTGAGGCAGGAGAATGACGTGAACCCAGGAGGCGGAGCTTGCAGTGAGCCGAGATCGTGCCACTGCACTCCAGCCCGGGCGACAGAGCGAGACTCTGTCTCAAAAAAAAAAAAAAAAAAAAAAGTGATTGTGGCCAGACATGGTGGCTCACACCTGTAATCCCATCACTTTGAGAGGCCAAGGTGGGTGGATTACTTAAGCCCTAGAGTTCCAGACCAGCCTGGGCAACATGGAAAAACCGCATCTCTACTAAAAATACAAAAATTAGCCGGGTGTGGTGGCCGGCGCCTGTAGTCCCAGCTACTCAGGAGGCTGAGGTGGGAGGATCACTTGAACCCAGAAGGTGGAGGTTGCAATGAGCTAAGATCGCACCACTGCACTCTAGCCTAGGCAACAGAGCGAGACTCCACCTAAAAAAAAAAAAAAAAACAAAAAAAAAAACTGACTGCTGCACCTGGCACGGCTTCACGCTGAGACGGGAGCTGTGGCATGGCAGAGACGGGAGCTGTGGCATGGCAGAGACGGGGAGCTGCGGCACGGCAGAGACGGGGAGCTGTGGCATGGCAGAGACGGGAGCTGTGGCACGGCAGAGGCGGGAGCTGTGGCATGGCAGAGCAGGACTGCGGGCCAATAAGCCAAGCCCAGGATGGTGTGGACACCGCAGATACAACAATGTACAAAGTGCCCTGTGTGTGCCGGCATCTCGGATCCTTTTGGGAACAGGAACATAAGCGGCAGAGGCCACTGGTGACTCAGTCTAAACTGGGGCGGGAGTTTTGAGGTGAAGGAAATTCACTGATAAGTGAGGCCTTAGAGAGGGCAATAAGCAGAGGAAACTGAGGCTCAGAGGAGCTGACTGACTCCGGGAAGAATGCCTGTTTTGTGATTCCTTATCCGCGTGTATCCGTGTACATTCAAATAGCACCAGACACAGCAAAGGGCCAGAGCTGAGATAACAGCCATCCGGCCGGGCGCGGTGGCTCATGCCTGTAATCCCAGCATTTTGGGAGGCCAAGGCAGGAGGATCACGGGGTCAGGAGATCGAGACCATCCTGGCTAACATGGTGAAACCCCATGGCTAATACAAAAAATTAGCCAGGCATGCTGGTGGGCGCCTGTAGTCCCAGCTATTCGAGAGGCTGAGGCAGGAGAATGGCGTGAACCCGGGAGGTGGAGCTTGCAGTGAGCCAAGATCGCACCACTGCACCCCAGCCTGGGCGACAGAGCGAGACTCCGTCTCAAAAAAAACCCAAAAAACAAAAAACAGCCATCCAAGACAGGTGTCTGATTACATTCGTCTCTGGCTCTTTTCCATCCTCCCCCTTCCTCCCCCTTCCCTGTCTCTTCACCACAATCTAAAAAGCTGAGCAAATCAGAAAATACGTCCTAATCTCAAACAATCCAGGCCTGAATTGGGACATCCCCCAGTATTTACAGCAAGAAGAGGTTTTCCTCAGCTCCCCTTCAGACGATTAAAGGAGTAAATGTGGCTGGGTGCGGTGGCTCACACCTGTAATCCCAGCACTCTGGAAGGCCAAGGTGGGCGCCTCATGAGGTCAGGAGTTTGAGACCAGCCTGGCCAACATGGTGAAACCCCATCTCCACTAAAAATACAAAAATTAGCCGGGCATGGTGGCGGGCACCTGTAATTCCAGCTACTCAGGAGGCTAAGGCAGGAGAATCGCTTGAACCCAGGAGGTGGAGGTTGCAGTGAGCTGAGATCACACCACTGCACTCCAGCCTGGGAGACAAGAGCAAGACTCTGTCTCAGAAAAAAAAGAAAAGAAAAAAAATGGATGTCAGCTACCTACAGAAAAGGGGCCCAGCACTTCACGGCACGACTGACCTGTCTGCACTAACGAAGATGATCTCGAAGTTCTGGCCTGCCTCCTTGATCTTCCGGTAGGATTCCACCAGGACCCGGGTGAGGCTTCGGCAGGGCGGACACTGAAAGACAGGACAGCAAGACCCGCTGCGTCACGCTGCTTCTCCACCTCCCAGCCACTCACCATCCAAGGCCGGGTTAGCAGGACTCAAGCAGGACTGGGACAGCAAAATCCCGTTCATGAAAGGGGTGGAAATGAGATGGGTATGGTGGCTACCTGGGAGGCTGAGGTCAGAAGATCGCTTGAGCCCAGGAGTTTGAGGCCAGCCTGGGCAACACAGCAAGACCTAGCCTCCTGCATGAGGCAAAAATAAACTTGCCTCTCTTAATGGTGGGCATCTGGCACAAGCACCCGCATTGTCCCTATGCAGTGTGTGAGCAGGTAGCATGAACTCATCCACATGGATTGAGAGAAATATCCAGGCTGGGTGCAGTGGCTCACGCCTGTCACCCCAGCACTTTGGGAGGCCAAGGTGGGTGCATCACCTGAGTTCAGGAGTTCAAGACCAGCCTGACCAACATGGAGAAACCCCATCTCTACTAAAAATACAAAAATTAGCCGGGTTTGGTAGTGTGCGCCTGGAGCCCCAGCTACTTCAAAAGCTGAGGCCGAAGAATCACTTGAACCCGGGAGACAGAGGGTGCGGTGAGTTGAGATTGTGCCACTGCACTCCAGCCTAGGCGACAGAGCAAGACTCTGTCTCAAAAAAAAAAAAAAGGGGGCCAGGCACGATGGTTCATGCTTGTAATCCCAGCACTTTGGGAGGCCGAGGCGGGCAGATCACCTGAGGTCAGGAGTTCGAGACCAGCCTGGCCAACATGGCAAAACCCTGTCTCTATTAAAAATACAAAAATTAGTCAGGCGTGGTGGCATGCACCTGTAATCCCAGCTACTCTGGAGGCTGAGGCAGGAGAATCACTTGAACCCAGGAGGCAAAGGTTGCAGTGAACTGAGATCGCGCCACTGCACTCCAGCCTGGGTAACAGAGCGAGACTCTGGCTCAGAAAAAAAAAAAAGAGGGCTATCGTTATAGATCAGTCAAAGAAGTCATTTCTTGCTGCTTTTTTCATTCATAATCATAAGCACTATTCAACCAGGCCTCGGGCACAGGAGAAGGCCAGAAGGCCGGGAAATTCCTGCCTGGGTGTCTCACCCCCAGAAGCCAACCACAGCTGGGCCTGCTGGGAACATCACTGCTTCCTTCTGTCTGAGCCAAAGGGGGTCCAAACACTCACCCAATGTGCGGAGAAATAGACGCCCACGTGAGACCCCTCCAGGCTGCTGCTCTCCAGAGACTGCCCATTGTTTCTAAGCAAGGGCCCTGCAATGACTTCCCTGAAGGGTTTCGGTCCCCAGGGGAACTCCAGACCTGAAACAGAAAACAGATGGTAAAAGAGGGCTTAGACCCTTCTTGATGACCTGGGACCCAGGAGACTTCAGAGCGGTTAAGACTCTTCTTGATGACCTGGGACCCGGGAGACCTCAGAGCGGCAGGCGTGACAAGATAATCATCAAACAGTACTTGTCAACACACCTACAGCGTCTGCAGCTAACACAGGAATCAAACTAGAGCCATTCCCTGCCCTCCTGGCAACGGTTCCCAAACCTGGATGGGTCACAAGGTCTGTCTTCCAGGGACATTTTTTTTTTTTTTTTTTTTTGAGGTAGAGTCTCACTCTGTCGCCCCGGCTGGAGTGCAGTGGCGCAATCTCAGCTCACTGCAAGCTCCGCCTCCCGGGTTCACGCCATTCCCCGGCCTCAGCCTCCCAAGTAGCTGGGACTACAGGTGCCCGCCACCAGGCCCGGCTAATGTTTTTTTTCTATTTATTTTTAGTAGAGATGGGGTTTCACCGTGTTAGCCAGGATGGCCTCGATCTCCTGACCTCGTGATCCACCCGCCTCAGCCTCCCAAAGTGCTGGAATTACAGGCGTGAGCCACCGCACCTGGCCCTTCCAGGGGCTTTTGAAAAGTACAAACGCCCAGGCCACATCCTGAGGCTGGAGACCCAGGGGCAACGCAAAGATGTACGTGCAAAATGAAACAGGCTCCCCAGAACTGACGAGGGACTCGGTTTGGGAATCATCGCCTCGGGGCCTCGGGAATCAACCCGATACCCGGGATTGTGGATTCACATCCCGGCCGTCACATCCCAGCGGCTGTCAGCTCTGACTGTACTTGGAATCAGCTGGGGAGTTTAAAATACCACGCTCCTGGGCCCCACGCCCAGAGATTCTGATTCTATTGCTCTTGATGGGCTCAGGGAGCCAAGTGAGAATTTAAGTCTAATAAAAGAAAAGAGTAAAACCCACCCAGCCCAGATGGTCCATGTTCTGATGACACCTAAGCTCCAGGTAGGGGGAGTTGAGAATACGCTTCCCGCTCAACTGAACCACGTTTTCTCACAGGGTGGTCCAAGGACCTGCTGCCTCAAAGTCGCTTGGGGGCTGGGAAGGAGGAGCACAGGCTGGTTGAAAATGCAGGTGGTCGGGCCTCCCCGGAAACAAGAGGGATCCACAATGCTCTGGAGGTCGGGCTCGGGATCCACACGGGGACCAGGCTCTGCGGCTCAGCCCCACGATCCCAGCACTTTGGGAGGCCGAGGTGGGCGGATTGCTTGAGCTCAAAAGTTTTGAGACCAGCCTGGGCAAGCCTAGGGAGACCCCGTCTCTACAAATAATAAAAAATTAGCTGGGTGTGGCGGTGCACGCCAGTAGTCCCAGCTACACGGGAGGATGAGTTGAGCTCAGGAGGTCGAGGCTGCAGTGAACCGGGATCATGCCACAGCACTCGGCCTGGGCGACAGAGGGAGATAGTGTCTCAAGAGAAAAAAAAAAAAAAAAAAGAAAAGCTTCACGCTTGGTTCCACCATGCCGTGGTTTTTACTGAGGACAATTCTTTGAAGTAGGTGGCATTTTTACTGGGAAAATGTGTGAGCGGGGTTGAATCTTCTCACTGGACGGATTAAGTGAGGGGAGGAGATCTCACAGCCCTGTTCTCACTCACTGCCAGAGGGAAAGACGCCACGCGGACGGCCCTGAGCGGGGCGGCTGGAGGAGCACAGCCCACGCGTAGCCAGCAAGACCAAGGCCCGCAGGGAGTGACAGCTCCAAGCAACGAGGTGCACTCACCGCCAAGGCCAGGAGAGTGACACGGGGGCTGGGACTTCGCTATGTAATGTTTTAAAGAGGAAAAACCCCACTCAGCCTGCCTCTAACTGTGAAGGGGGCAGCCGCCACGGATGCAGCACTAGAGGCCGGGGTCTGAGCTCTCCGCTTTCCCACAGCCTCTGCGGCCCTCCAAGCGGAGCTTCTTACGGCAGAGTCCATCTCTTTTGGCCCATGAATTAAAGCCCCTAGGAGGGACATTCTGATCCCTGTGAAAATCTTAAAACCATGTCCTAGGGAATACTATGATTTCACCAAGACGACATTCTCTACCACGTAAACCCACGTGTATCTATTTCACCAGTACTCTCTCCACCGGTGGGACGGAGATTAGCCTAAGGGCATGGAGGAGGGAGGGCTGGGTAATAAGAGGACCATATGCACGGGCTGAGGTTTTACCTTCTGGGTCATCTCGGATCACCAGCAGCCCGTTCCTGCACACAACCTTCCCAGTGGTGGCGTCGAGGAATATTAGTGATGGAATGTTGGAAATTCGGTATTTGTTCCAAAGTTTGAGCTGTATGAAGAAAAGCAAAAGAAGGTGGTTAAGTCCAAACCAGATTCATTGCAGAGTTCTTTTGAGCCCCTTAGGTCTGGAGGCTGGATGAACAGGCAAGCATTCAAGCACACAGAAAAGAATAATGGATGCCAAGCAGGGCTGCTGGGCAAAGGGGCACGTTAACTACAATCCCACTGCCCCCCGGGGTCTGTGACAGTGCGGGGGGCTCCGAGGAGGGAGGTGATGGTCCCACTGCCCCCCGGGGTCTGCGACAGTGTGGGGGACTTGGAGGTGGAGGCTGATGACCCCACTGGCCCCCATAGTCTGCAACAGCATAGGGGACTCAGAGGCGGAGGCTGATGGAGGACCACACTCATCCTGGAGAGTACTACCCTTCCACGTCTCTAAAAATCACAAAGATGAAGATGGATTCCACATCTTCAGAACACAATCAGACCACCAGGTGGTTAAGGAAGGAAGGGAAGGTTTTCACGAGAGCCTCGCCACCCTGGCAGCAGGCAACAGCAGCCGCTCTCCACGGCCCCTTCCCCTCAAGGGAGAAGAGACGGGTTTTCTGACAGAAGGCCACGGAGTTAACATCTGCCCCCTCAGCCCTTCACCAGGTCCCTCAGCCCTTCACCAGGTCCCTGCACTTGAAATATCACAGTCGTCGTTACGTTCAGCCCACAAAGCACCAGGGAAGCAATGCCCAGGGCCAGCCCCAACCCTCGGCTCTCGGTGCCGCGTAAAACACGCTTCAGTCTACTGTCAGATTCTTGAGGTTGGCTGTGCACACGGTCAGAGGTCCAGGGTCTAAGAGGAATAAAGCTGACAAAATGTCAATGCAAAGCCCAGGGCTGGAAGCCAAGCGTGGGCGGCCTCTGTTCGCCATCGGGGTGAAGCCTCCTGTGTTCGTTCACTGCCGTCGGGGTGAACGCCATATGGGCAGGTGACTGGGTGCTCTCGAACCTCCCCGCCAAGCCCAAAAAGCCACATAATTAAATGCAATGTCGGGGCCGGGCACGGTGGCTCACACCTGTGATCCCAGCGCTTTGGGAGGATCACCTGAGGTCAGGAGTTCAAGACCAGCCTGGGCAACATGGTGGAACCCCGTCTCTACTTAAAATACAAAAATTAGCTGGGCGTGGTGGCTCACATCTGTAATCCCAGCACTTTGGGAGGCCGAGGTGGGTGGATCATGAGGTCAGGAGATCGAGACCATCCTGGCCAACACGGTGAAACCCCGTCTCTACTAAAAATACAAAAAATTAGCTGGACGTGGCCGGGTGCGGTGGCTCACACCTGTAATCCCAGCACTTTGGGAGGCTGAGGCGGGTGGATCACGAGGCCAGGAGATCGAGACCATCCTGGCTAACACGGTGAAACCCCTTCTCTACTAAAAATTACAAAAAATTAGCCGGGCGTGGTGGCGGGCGCCTGTAGTCCCAGCTACTCGGGAGGCTGAGGCAGGAGAATGGCGTGAACCCGGGAGGCGGGGCTTGCGGTGAGCCAGGATCACACCACTGCACTCCAGCCTGGGTGACAGAGTGAGACTCCGTCTCAAAAAAATAAATAAATAAAATAAATGCATTGTTGGGCTGTGTTCCTCCAGAAAAGACAGAAGCAGGGAAGCTGCAGAGTGCCCCACTGTTTAGGCCGTTCGGCTCTGAGCCTCCCTGCTGGGGGCTTGAGGGTCCCGGCAGGAAGGCTACGCCCTTGGGCAGAACAGGGCAAGGATGTGTGGCAGCCAAGCAGGCATGAGAAGGGCAGCAGCAGAGGGAAGAGGGCATTGGTGGTGGGATGAGGATTGTCCCGAGTTCCATCCGAAGCGGTGAGGGGCAGGGCAGGGGATCTGCCACACAATGCTGGGCTTCCCTGTCTGTGGAGACCTGTATCTTGGCAGGAAGGGCTGTGGGACCCCACTTCAATCTGGGTGGGCCCTGCTTTCAATCTGCATGTTTTTCCCAGCCCCACCTTTCCGGGGGGCTTACAAAACCAGCCCGGGACCTCACAACAAGAACAATCCTGCACATCCAGTTTTTTTTGTTTTTTGGTTTTTTTTAAACAGAATCTCGCTCTGTCACCCAGGCTGGAGTGCAGTGGCACGATCTTGGCTCACTGCAACCTCCACCTCTCAGGTTCAAACAATTCCCCTGCCTCAGCCTCCCAAGTAGCTGGGATTACAGGTGCCCCCTACCACACCCGGCTAGTTTTTATATTTTTAGTAGAGACGGGGTTTCACCATGTTGGCCAGGCTGGTCTCGAACTCCTGACCTCAGGTGATCCACCCACCTCGGCCTCACAAAGTGCTGGGATTACAGGTGTGAGCCACCGTGCCTGGCCTTTTTTTTTTTTTTTTTTAATGGAGTCTTACTCTGTCACCCAGGCTAGAGTGCAATGGTGTGATCTAGGCTCACTGCAACCTCCACCTCTAGGGTTCAAGCGATTCTCTTGCCTCAGCCTCCCGAGTAGCTGGGATTACAGGCACCCACCTCCACGTCCAGCTAATTTTTCTATTTTCAGTAGAGATAGGGTTTCGCCACATTGGCCAGGCTGGTCTGGAACTCCTGACCTCAGGTGATCCACCCGCCTCGGCCTCCCACAGTGCTGAGATTACAGGCGTGGGCCACCGCACCCGGCCCCAGTTTTTAAATTCCACGATGGCATCATTCCAGAGAAACTTGGTACAGAATTCAGATTAAACATCCTTAAGAGGTTCAACAACAGAACAAGACCATCCTGCCACGGGGATCAGCTTCATAAGTTTGCTGTACAAGGACTGAGTCAGGTTAATTTTTTTTAGAAAAGGAAGATTAAAATGATTGAATTTTTCTGGTTTAAAAAGGAATTCTTGGAGAAAAAAAATCACTGGAAAAAAGTCGGGAAACAGCAAAACCACACAAATTGGGATTGAAAATTACCCATGACTCACCGCTCAGGAAAGCTCAGACCGTTTTATATTTTTCCACCAGTGGCAAATGAGAGAGCCCATTTCCCAACCTTCACCAACATTATCACTGTCATTCATTTTTCCAGTTCGCTAGGGGGAAAAAATGACAAGTCATTTTTGTTGCTTATCCTTTTTTTTTTTTTTAGGGGGGCGGGGTGGTGGGGCAAACAGAGTCTCGCTCTGTTGCCCAGGCTGGAGTACAGTGGCACGATCTTGGCTCACTGCAACCTCTGCCTCCCGGGTTCAACGAATTCTCTGCCTCAGCCTCCCGAGTAGCTGGGATTACAGGCATGCACCACCTTGCCGGCTAATTTTTCTATTTTTAGTAGAGATCGGGTTTCACCACATTGGCCAGGTTGGTCTCGAACTCCTGACCTCAGGTGATCCGCCCACCTCGGCCTCCCAAAGTGCTGGGATTACAGGTGTGAGCCACCGTGCTCGGACTATCTTTTTTTTTTTTTTTTTAAAGTTCTGGGATACATGTGCAGAATGTGCAGGTTTGTTACGTAGGAATACATGTGCCATGGTAGTTTGCTGCACCCATCAACCTGTCATCAAGGTTTTAAGCCCCGCATGCATTAGGTATTTCTCCTAATGCTATCCCTCCCCTAGGCCCCCACCTGCCAACAGGCCCCAGTGTGTGATGTTCCCCTCCCTGTGTCCACGTGTTTTCATTGTTCAACTCCCATTTATGAGTGAGAACATGCAGTGTTTGGTTTTCTGTTGCTGTGTTAGTTTGCTGAGAATGATGTCTTCCAGCTTCATCCATGTCCCTGCAAAGGACATGAACTCATTCTTTTTTATGGCTGTATAGTATTCCATGGTGTATATGTGCCACATTTTCTTTATCCAGTCTATCATTGATGGGCATTTGGGTTGGTTCCAAGTCTTTGCTATCGTAAACAGTGCTGCAATAAACATACGTGTGCATGTGTCTTTACAGAAGAATGATTTACAATCCTTTGGGTATACACCCAGTAATGGGATTGCTGGGTCAAATGGTGTTTTTGGTTCTAGATCCCTGAGGAATCACCACACTGTCCTCCACAATGGTTGAACTAATTGACCCTCCCACCAACAGTGTCAAAGTTGCTTATCTTTGACTTACTGATGTGTAGGAGATACGCTGTTGTCAGCACCCTGTGCTTTCCCCGCTATGTTTTGTAACTGGTAAGAGCTGAAAGTGATTCAGCAGATATTAAGTGAGCGCCCACTGTGTGCCAGGCTCGTTCTAAGCACAAGAGATTCAGTTAAGAGCAGATGAGGCTGCTACCCTCGTGGGGCTCCTCCTCCAGTGGGAGAGGCAGACAATAAACAAGAATATAAACAGGAAACTCATTTCAGACACCGAGAAGTAACAGAAAGAAAACAGGGCGGGTAAGATCACGGCTGCAACTGGGAAGCTGGGATGGCAGCGTGGATTCCAGAGACAGGCGTCCGGGAGGAATGACATTTGGGCACAGACCTCAGCAAGGAAATGGAACAAGCCACAGGCACGCCGCGGGAGGCCACCTGAGGCCCAAGAGCCCGTGTGGAGGCTGACTGCGAAAGTCTGAGTAGATGAGAGAACCAGGGGCGGCGGCTGTGATGAGGTCAGAGATCATCATAAGATTTGTGAACCACATCGTCAAGGCCCCGTGGACGACAGCAAAAATAACAGGTCACAGGGAATGACGTGACCTGATTCACAGTTTAAAAGGCCATTTGGGGCCGGGCACGATGGCTCACGCCTGTAATCCCAGCAGTTTGGGAGGCCAAGGTGGGCAGATCATCTGAGGTCAGGAGTTCGACAACAGCCTGGCCAACACGGTGAAAGCCCATCTCTACTAAAAATATAAAATTAACCAGGCATGGTGGCAGGCACCTGTAATCCCAGCTACTCAGAGGGCTGAGGCAGGAGAATCACTTGAACCCGGGAGGCGGAGGTTGCTGTGAGCCGAGACTGAGCTATTGCACTCCAGCCTGGGCAACAAGAGCGAAACTCCGTCTCAAAAAAAAAAAAAAAACATGCTCTAACCTATGCTGATTGGGTTACTCCAGAAAAGAAATTTGAGAGCGAAAACTGCAAGAACAATGTGCTTGAACAGGAAAAAGGGCGAGACCTAGATCACAAATGGAAAAGGGCCAGGTTATAAAAACAGCTGACTTTTCAATGTAGTTGCCCCTTGGCTGGGTGCCGTGGATCACACCTGTAATCCCAGCACTTAGGGAGGCAAGGGGGAGCGGATCACCCGAGCCCAGGACTTCAAGACCAGCCTGGGCAACATAGTGAGACCCAGTTCTCCATTAAAAAAAAAACTCCACAAGTCTGAAGTATACAAGAGGATGTATATAGGTTATATGCAAAAACTATGCCATTTTATATCAAGGACTTGAGCACTGGGGAGGTGGGTCTTGGAACCAGTCCCCCCGCCACACAGATACTGAGGGCCGACTTTATTTATTCATTTATTTATTTATTTATTTATTTATTATTTTGAGATGGAGTCTTGCTCTGTCACCCAGGCAGTGCAGTGACACAATCTCAGCTCACTGCAACCTCCGCTCACTGCAACCTCCCCTCATTGCAACCTCCACCTCCCAGGTTCAAGCAATTCTCATGCTTCAGCCTCCTGAGTAGCTGCGATTACAGGCATTCGCCACCACACCTGGCTAATTTTTGTATTTTTATTAGAGAACCGGATTCACCCTGTTGGCCAGGCTGGTTTGGAACTCCTGACCTCAGGTGATCCAAGCACCTTGGCCTCCCAAAGTGCTGGGATTATAGGCATGACCCACTGCGCCTGGCCTTCCATAACTTTTTGATCAAAATTTTATCAGGAATGGATGGCTACTGATTATTCTTTGAACCTGTTGTGGTATATTTCATGAGTGTCCAGTCTAAGATTAAACTATCCTTGCCTTCTTAGAAGAGATCCTCCTTACTCACATGTATTATTAAGGGATCACTAGGATCTTATGTTCTGTGGGGCTTGGGGCTCCCACAAGCAAATGCCACCTTGTAACAGGAATCTCTCTGTGGGTAGCTGGACTGTTGCCTGAAGTAAATTTCAGCCTGTGGTCCTCAAATGTAAAGCTAGCAGATGCAACATGATTATTAGAGTGGTTTGCATTTAAGCACCCCTATTACCCTTCAAACGTAAGCATGTGCTTTGCTCTTAGCCAGGAATTTTTTTTTCTTTTTTGAGATGGAGTCTCGCTCTGTCACCCAGGCTGGAGTGCAGTGGCGCGATCTCGGCTCACTGCAAGCTCCGCCTCCCAGGTTCACACCATTCTCCTGCCTCAGCCTCCTGAGTAGCTGGGACTACAGGTGCCCGCCACCACACCCAGCTACTATTTTGTATTTTTTTTTTTTTTAGTAGAGACGGGGTTTCACCTTGTTAGCCAGGATGGTCTCGATCTCCTGACCTCGTGTCCGCCCGCCTTGGCCTCCCAAAGTGCTGGGATGACAGGCGTGAGCCACCATGCCCAGCCTCAGCCAGGAATTTTTAAGGAAATGGTGGTGGGGTTTTGGTACCTGAACAGCCTCTACCCTCTAAATGCTCAGGAGAAACGCCATCTCCCAAACCTTGCCAGCTAAAGAAGAACCAGTTTCTTCTGAAACTCTTATGTGAGTAGAAGAGTTGTAACACCTCTCCCTGCCCTGCCCCCAGTCTCCACAGACATGTCTTTCCTCTCGGAATCCTCTCTGGATGGGTAAGAAACTGTAACCTGCATCTTCCCTCCCTCCCTAAAGATTCCCCGTTCCTTTCTGGTTGCATCTCAGGAGCACAGGAGGTCTCTGCTTGTGTTTTATCCATTTACTGTTGGGTCTTTGTTTCCACGTAAAGGCCCACGCTGGGTTAGTGGGGAAAAAATTTCCTTCTAGACTCACATCTGACGCTTTTTATTTGTTTCTTTGAGACGGAGTCTCGCTGTCCCCCAGGCTGGAGTGCAGTGGCGCGATCTCAGTTCACTGCAAGCTCCGCCTCCTGGGTTCACACCATTCTCCTGCCTCAGCCTCCCGAGTAGCTGGGACTACAGGCACCTGCCACCACGCCCAGCTAATTTTTTGTATTTTTTAGTAGAGACGGGGTTTTACCGTGTCAGCCAGGATGGTCTCGACCTCCTGACCTCGTGATCCGCCCACCTCAGCCTCCCAAAATGCTGGGATTACAGGCATGAGCCACCGCACCCGGCCGAAAAGTTATTTCTTTTACAGACAAAGCCATCGTGGTCTAATTTATCCAGGAACCCATGTCATTCATTAGGGAGCTGCATCTGTGGGCGCCTCAGGCCACCCAAAGCATGAAGGTTACTCGGCTCTGAAACAATGTGGTCTGCACGGGAGTCACCATTCCGAAAAACACACGAATCAGAAGGCGACCCTTCTGTCAGAGAAGTCATCCAGGAGTGACTTGCGGATTCACTTACGCAGCCCGGAAACCAAAAAATGCTTCAGCTTAAAGAAATGATCAGCAAGATTCACCTCTGCACCCTTTCAAGTGTGAGGGGCCCCTCGAGTCCACCAAAGGTTTTCAAAATGCCTCTGAAAACAGCGGTTTCATAGTCATTTTTGGGTCACAGACAGTTTTGAGGACAAAAGCTATGGATCTTTCAGCAGAGAAAAAGGCACATACAGCAAAAAGTCAGTGTATAAATTCACAGAGTTCATAAATCCCCCTGAAGCCTGTTAGCGGAAACTGATCACGGGAGGTCTACAGACCCCAAATGAAGACCTCCCTGTCTTAAGAGTTCATGTCAGTGCACGTCTTGACCTTGATTCAACTGAGAGAGAGATAATCCTGCCCCATCTGTATCCTGCTGTAAACATTCCTCCAATGTAGTCAGGATCTGCCGAAAACCTAAGATGACGTTAACAGTGAAGAGCGGGTGATTAAAAAAGAAAAAAAAATCTCACTCTCCCCGCTCTCCCACTGTCGCTGTGTTCCTAAACTCAGGCAGAGCTCATGCCTTCAGGATGGCGAACATCAGAGCCACCCAGGACTGAGAGAACTCACTGTCCTTTTTAAAAAAGCATTTCTCAGGGCCAGGTGCGGTGGCTCACGCCTGGAATCCCAGCACTCTGGGGGGACGAGGCGGGTGGATCGCTTGAGCCCAGGAGTTCAAGACCAGCCTGGACAACATGGTAAAACCCTATCACTCCACAAAAAAATACAAAAATTAGCCAGGCGTGGTGGCCACTCCTGTAGCTCCAGCTGCTTAAGAGGCTGAGGTAAGAGGATGCTTTGAGCATGGGAGGTCAAGGCTACGATGAGCTGTGATCGTGTCACTGCACCCCAGCATGAGTGACGGGGCAAGACCCTGTCTCAAAAGGGCTGCACTGTCTGGCATTGCAGCAGCTGGGAAAGACCAGATGACTTTACATCCAGTGTTTGCTCTGTCTAGAGATCATCCTGGCAACGTATCCACCCAGGGTGCATTTTGTTAGTCTTGCTCTGTTGCCCAGGCTGGAGTGCAATGGTGCGATCTCAGCTCACTGCAACCTCCACCTCCTGGGTTTAAGTGATTCTCCTGCCTCAGCCTCCTGAGTAGCTGGAATTACAGGCACCAACCACCATGCCTGGCTAATTTTTGTATTTTTAGTAGAGATTCAAACCTCCTGACCTTATGATCCGCCCACCTTGGCCTCCCAAAGTGCTGGGATTACAGGCGCCCACCACCACGCCCGACCTAATTTTGTATTTTTAGTAGAGATGGGGTTTCACCACGTTGGGCACGCTGGTCTCGAACCTCCTGACCTCAAGTGATCTGCCCGCCTTGGCCTCCCAAAGTGCTGGGATTACATGTGTGAGCCACTGTGTCTGGCTAATTTTTGTACTTTTAGTAGAGACAGGGTTTCACCATGTTGGCTGGGCTGGTCTCAAACTCCTGACCTCACCCTCCCAAAGTGCTGAGATGACAGGCGTGAGCCACCACGCCTGGCCCCAGGGTGCATTCTCATGATCCCTTGCTGAATGGTCTTCTACCACAGCCACCCAAAGGCCACACAATGCCAACAGAAAACGTCACAGCAGGCCTGGCGCGGTGGCTCACGCCCGTAATCCCAGCACTTTGGGAGGCCGAGGCGGGCGGATCACAAGGTCAGGAGATCGAGACCATCCTGGCTAACATGGTGAAACCCTGTCTCTACTAAAAATACAAAAAATTAGCCGGGTGTGGTGACGGGTGCCTGTACTCCCAGCTACTCGGGAGGCTGAGGCAGGAGAATGGCGTGAACCCAGGAGGCGGAGCTTGCAGTGAGCTGAGATCGTGCCACTGCACTCCAGCCTGGAAGACAGACCGAGACTCTGTTTCAAAAAAAAAAAAAAAAGAAAACGTCATAGCAAACCCCCAACGCCTACAACTCTACTGTTTATGATTAGTTCATCAAATTCAGAAGCCAGGCCACAGAGAACAAAGAAAAAAAACAAAGAGGAGACAAGATTAGCTCAACTTGGCAAAAATGGAAACGGATGACAAAGTGGGTTATCCAGTTACTTGAAAGTTCCCACTGCTCCGCCTGGCAGTGGGTTCTGCTGAAAGACTCCAAGGCTGTGGTTGGAACTATCCTAGGAATGCAGGCCAGAAACGCTTCTACAGTGACCAACAAAACAATGAAACACATATCAAAAGGGACGGGACTGGGAACCGGGAAACGGTAAAAATGCCAACGAGAAAGTCCAGCAAATCTGAAACACCGGTGGGATTCGTCAGCCTCATAGAGGCCGCAGGGAAAAAACACCGGTGGGATTCGTCAGCCCCCACAGAGGCCGCAGGGGAAAAACACCGGTGGGATTCGTCAGCCTCATAGAGGCCGCAGGGGAAAAACACCGGTGGGATTCGTCAGCCTCATAGAGGCCGCAGGGAAAAAACACCGGTGGGATTCGTCAGCCCCCACAGAGGCCGCAGGGGAAAAACACCGGTGGGATTCGTCAGCCTCATAGAGGCCGCAGGGGAAAAACACCGGTGGGATTCGTCAGCCTCATAGAGGCCGCAGGGAAAAAACACCGGTGGGATTCGTCAGCCCCCACAGAGGCCGCAGGGGAAAAACACCGGTGGGATTCGTCAGCCCCCACAGAGGCCGCGGGGAAAAAACACCGGTGGGATTCGTCAGCCCCCACAGAGGCCGCAGGGGAAAAACACCGGTGGGATTCATCAGCCCCCACAGAGGCCGCAGGGAAATGCAGCCTGGTGATTTCCGAGAAGTCCCAGTTCCCGAGAGCAACATGGAATCTGCCCCCGCATGCTAAGGACCAGGTCTTGCTCTTGACTGGGGAGCCTCAGCTTTTCTTTCCAACAGCTGCTGCAAATCTGTGGGATCAAGGCAAAGCCAACGCAGATGTAGGATTCATCCGCAAACTCCTTGGCCAGGTCAGCCAAGCCTTCTCGGGCAAACGTCACCCCTGCCCTCCAGCCAAATGCCGACCACAATCAAAACCATCCTTTCTGTGAGCAGCATTTGAAAACAGAGCCCTAAATGTGCTCTCACCCTTTCTAACCCCAAATGACCAAACACCATGATATACACTGAGAGCAGGAATCCCCCTCATCCCAGCCTCCAATGTCACACCAGGACGAACACTGAGGTTACTCAGCACAGGTTCCGGCTCCAGAGCCCGGCTCTTCCATCTGTTCCAGCCGCTTATTAGTGGGTGACCCTGGTGAGGTATCTCACCGTCTCTTGGCTTCCTCAGCTGCAAAATGTAGATAACAGAACCTACACCTCACTGAACTGCTGTGAACATGAGTTACATAGAGCGCTTAGCATAAAGACTGGCCAATATTAGGTATGAAATAAGTGTTAGTTGCTTTAAGCTAAGGCGCTGACACAGACAATGGGTCTCATTCTGTGGCCCAGGCAAAATCATGGCTCACTGCAGCCTCCACCTCCCGGGCTCAAGCCATCCTCCCACCTCAGCCTCCCAGAGTGCTGGGATTACAAGCGTGAGCCACCACACCTAGCTTAGTTGCTATTATTATTATTATTATTATTATTATTTTCTAGACCCAGAGTCTTGCTCTGTCGCCCAGGCTGGAGAGCAGTGACACAATCATAGCTCACTGCAGCCTCCACCACCCGGGCTCACGTGATCCCCCCACCTCAGCCTCCGAGGAGCTGGGACTACGGTCGCACACCACCATGCCTCACTAATTTTTTGATGTTTTGTGGCAACAGCGTCTCGCTATGTGCCCCAGGCTGGTCTCAAACTCCTGAGCTCAAGCGTTCCTCCCATCTCAGACTCCCAAAGTGCTGGGGCTACAGGTGTAAGCCACTGTGTTCAGCCCCCATGCCATCTTCTAAATGCTCCAGCAGGACCTTGTCCTCATATCCCCAGAGGTAAGGCCCAGTCTTGGATCCCCTTGCTCCTGAGGCATGATTCCCAGTGTGTGATTTGGCCCATGACTGCAATCCTCAGAGCCTAGTATACCTGCTGGCCAAGAGCAGTGCCTGGGCACATTATGTGTCCAATAAATGATAGATGAACAACAAATGAACAGAGGAAGGGAGAGAGGAATCACCGTCCTAGGTCAGCCAGAACAGATGCCCCCTAATCAGTCCAGCTCAGCTACTTAATGGCTTTTTCATGACCACGGCTCCCCCTTGTTCCTGGGGGGCCCAGAATGCTCCTGAAATGGCAGAAGAAATGATTCGAATCCAGCGCTGGTGGGATCAGAGCTTCTCTCGCTTTGCCCGATGGTGCCTTAGATCCTGTACCCTCCCCACCTGCGCATTCTGCCTTCGCCTGGAGCTGAAGCAGAGAACAGACCAGCCCGTGTGACCAAGGGAAAGGGGCCGGGGGTCCGGGCCAGGCTGATCCGAGCCGTCACCAACCTATGAGAATTCCAAACCCTCCTGGTGGCTCTGCCATTTTGATGCTACATGTTTTCAGCTGGTTCACAGAGAGGACCTATGCATGCCCCAAGGATGGCAAGAGCGTGAGGTTCACAAAACAACATGTCCACTCTGATTCCTGCAGACAAAGCCACCGAGCATGATATATGCCGCACACGTTCTTTCTGGGTCCTTCTCTGCCACGCCAGGCTGCATTAAAATAAAAAGACTGGGTAGAAGGGGATTTAAAATCTATTTTTCATCTCTCTAAATCTCAGAACACTGAATTTTCCTTTCCTTCTTTTTTTTTTTTTTTTTTTTTTTGAGATGGAGTCTCGCTCTGTCGCCCAGGCTGGAGTGCAGTGGCTCGATCTCTGCTCACCACAACCTCTGCCTCCTGGGTTCAAGCAATTCTTCTGCCTCCGCCTCCCGAGTAGCTGGGATTACAGGTGCCCACCACCACACCCGGCTCATTTTCGTATTTTTAGTTGAGACGGGGTCTCACCATCTTGGCCAGGCTGGTCTCAAACTCCTGACCTCAGGTGATCCGCCCACCTCGGCCTCCCCAGAAGCTGGGATTACAGGCGTGAGCCACCGCGCCCGGCCATAACAGTGAATTTTCTAACCAATTTACAGATGACCTAGCTGGGCTTTGCAACCCGACAGAGCTGAATCAGCTGTGACTTACAACACTCTAATCAAAGTGCCACAGGGATGAAAGTGGTGAGACGCCGAGTCGGCTTTCAAAAACCTTACAGTTTAGAAGTGGGAAACGGTGAAAATGGTAAACTTTACGTTACATATATTTGGCCACAATATAAAAATATGAAGCAACAACCACATATGGCAGATCAGGCCAACTGCCAGGAGAAATGAGCAAAAGAAGGCCCAGGAGGAAGAGTGGCTGCATTCTGGTTGACTAGAGCTGCCAGGAGGGCCCTGAATCTTCAAACACACTGAACTATCTCAAACATCCGCCCTACAGCTGCCTCCCTTCCAAACGGGGGCCGCTCCAAGAACCCACCGTTCCGGGTTGAGTTTGGTCCTCACTGGTCAGTGAAATCTTCAGTCGATACCTGTGTTTGCTGGAGGCCGTGTGGGATAGATCAAACGGTGGAGAATGTGGTTCTGGAGCCAGGCTGCCTGGGTTCAAATCCCCGCTCTGCTATGAACCACCAGGGGAACTCCAGCCACACACCTCTCGGAGTGTCACTTTCCTCATGAGTAAAATGAGGATAATAACAACACTGCTTCGTCCTGTTGCTGTGAGAACTGGATTAATGCACGTGCGGTGCTGACAACACTGCTTGGTTCATAGTGAGCGTCAGGCCGGACGCGGTGGCTCACGCCTGGAATCCCAGCATTTTGGGAGGCCGAGGCGGGCGGATCACTTGAGGTCAGGAGTTCAAGACCAGTGTGGCCAACATGGTGAAACCCCATCTCTCCTAAAAATACAAAAATTAGCTGGTCTTGGTGGCAGGTGCCTGTAATCCCAGCTACTCGGGAGGCTGAGACAGGAGAATCGCTTGAACCTGGGAGGCGGAGGTTGCAGTGAGCCGAGGTCACACCACTGCACTCCAGCCCGGGCAACCAGAGTGAAACTCTGTCTCAAAAAATAAATTTAAAATAAAATAAAACATAGGAAGTGTTCAAATACATGCTAGAAATAATGAGGAGGAGGATATCTGAAAAGAAAAAGTGCCAGGTATGCACGGCAGCTCACGCCTGTAACTTCAGCACTTTGGGAGGCCAAGGTGGGTGGGTCACTTGAGCTCAGGAGTTCGAGACCCCTGGGCAACATGGTGAAATCTCATCTCTAAAAAAAAATTAGCCTGGCATGGTGGCACACATCTGTAGTCCCAGCTACGCAGGAGGTTGAGGCAGGAGGATCACCTGAACCTGGTGTGGTCAAGGCTGCAGTGAATCGTGATGGTGCCACTGCACTCCAGCCTGGCGACAGAGAGACCTTGTTAAAAAAAAAAAAAAAAAGGCCAGGCACGGTGGCTCACACCTATAATCCCAGCACTTTGGGAGGCCGAGGCGGGCAGATTACCTGAGGTCAGGAGTTCGAGACCAGCCTGGCCAACATGGTGAAACCCCGTCTCTATTAAACATACAACAATTAGCTGGGCAAGGAGACAGGTGCCTGTAATCCCAGCTACTTGGGAGGCTAAGGCAGGAGAATTGCTTTAACCCAAGAGGTGGAGGTTGCAGTGAGCTGAGATCGTGCCACTGCACTCCAGCGTGGGCGACAGAGCGAGACTGTCTCAAAAAAAAAAAAAAGAGAGAGAGAGAGAATATTACCATTTCTACTGGACCATAAATGGAAAAATATGATGTTCCCTGTAACCCCCATTTAGCACCCATGCCAGCAGCAGGCTCCCATTCTGGTGGAGGGAGAATGGGGAAATGACTTCTTAGGTCTCCTATCAACTTGGGATACCTCCAGATAGAAGGACCAGGGGACAACTGTACACAGGAAATGCCGGTTACTCTCAGCCTGGTGTGCAGAGACTTCTTTTTTTTTTTCTTGAGACGGAGTCTCGCTCTGCCGCCCAGGCTGGGGTGAAGTGGCGCCATCTCGGCTCATTGCAAGCTCCACCTCCCGGGTTCACACCATTCTCCTGCCTCAGCCTCCCAGGTAGCTGGGACTACAGGCGCCTGCCACCACGCACAGCTAATTTTTTGTATTTTTAGTAGAGACAGGGTTTCACCATGTTAGCCAGGATGGTCTTGATCTCCTGACCTCGTGATCCGCCCGCCTGGGCCTCCCAAAGTGCTGGGATTACAGGCGTGAGCCACCGCGCCCGGCCGGCGTGCAGACTTCTTACGTCTTAAGAGCCTCACTTCACCGGCGAGATACTCTTTTACAACAGAAATCACTTTGCTGCTAGCGTGACAGGCAGAGGATCCGATCGGCTGTGTCCTCCTTTTCTCTCTTTATCTGAGAGATGTGTGTCCATGGCAAGCCGGCTTCCATCCTAACCTGTTGCTCCAAATGCTGTCAAACACACAGACGACTCCCAGGATAAAGGACGGCACACCAAGCTTCTCTTAGGGTGAACACAAAACAACCACTGCCCCCACAAGCCTTTCTCCAAGGGGGCCGCTGTGTTCTGGCAGCCCCCACTCCTCCACCGCACGGCGGCGGGAGGCAGAGTGTAGGGTGAGAGTGCCGGCACAGGAGCAGATGGCTTGGGTTCGAATCCCGGCTCTGCCACTTTGGGTAAATGACTTAGTCTCCCCACACCTCACTCTCTTCAGCTGCAGAATGGTCTGGGGGGCACCTCCCTGCTAGGGTTACTGTGTGGATAGATCGTAGGCACGAAGGGCTTGGAAACATCCCTGGCTCACAGTTAGCACTCACACGTGAATACTTCTCATGTGGGCCCTTCCAGATGCTACTTCAGAAAGTCCATGCCAGGGCAACAGGCCCCGCATGCGGCCCTCACGCTGCAGGGGCGTCAAAGAGGCAGCACTGGACTAGATGGTGATGAGACCATCCTGGTGCCGCCAACCCTGCCAGGGCTGGGACCCAGAGCAGCCCACACACGGTGCATCTCACGCCGGCGAGCAGGTCCCCCCTGACCACGGCGCATCTCACACGGGCGAGCAGGTCCCCCTGACCACGGCGCATCTCACACGGGCGAGCAGGTCCCCCCTGACCACGGCGCATCTCACACGGGCGAGCAGGTCCCCCCGACCATGGAGCATCTCACGCCGGCGAGCAGGTCCCCCCTGACCACGGAGCATCTCACGCCGGCGAGCAGGTCCCCCCGACCACAGAGCATCTCACACGGGCAAGCAGGTCCACCCTGACCACAGCGCATCTCACGCCGGCGAGCAGGTCCACCCTGACCATGGCACATCTCACGCCGGTGAGCAGGTCCACCCTGACAAAGGAAAGGGAGAGCCCAGGAGTGTCCACTTCCAGCAGTGGCTCTGGGTGCGGCAAAGGCACAAACTGGACAAAAGCAGCAATCCTTCTGATTAAACCTGTTCTACATCCTTCCAATTACACCTGCTCTAGGTGGCGCACGGCGGCTCACGTCTGTAATCCCAGCACTTTGGGAGGCCGAGGTGGGCGGATCACCTGAGCTCAGGAGTTGGAGGCCAGCCTGGTCAACATGGTGAAATCTGTCTCTACCAAAAAGGCAAAAATGAGCCGGGTGTGGTGGCGCATGTCTGTAACCCCAGCAACTCAGGAGGCTGCGGCAGGAGAATCGCTTGAACCTGGGAGGCAGAGGTTGCAGTGAGCTGAGATCCCGCCATTGCACTCCAGCCTGGGCGACAGAGAGAGACTCCCTCTCAAAAACAAAACAAAAAACCTGCTCGACACCCTTCCAATTAAACCTGCTCGACATCCTTCCAGTTAAACCCGCCACTTCATCAAGGAAAGAAAGACATTTTCCCGGCTAGCACTGATCTGTGGGCCCTTCTTTTTCAAAATGGGAGATGGCAGAATTTTATACAGAAACAGTCGCTAGTTCCAACCAGAAAGCCCAGAGACACAGGGGAGCCGCTGGTGGCCACACAGGTGAAGCATGAAAGGCTAAGAAATGGAAATGCAGTGCTGCACATGGCCGGGAGCCCGGGTCCGGCTGTGGGCTGCAGTTCCGTGATCCCGGCGGGGAAGGCCACGTGGGTTACTGGGGAGGATGAAGGATGAACACGGGGCCGCGTCTCACATGCAACCCACCTTCGAAGACGCCAACCAGAGGCACCTACGGCACATCCCGAGACACGTGGGGGCCCGTCTCCTCCTCCTTCCAGGAGTCACTCCCCAGGCAACTTGGCTACTAAACTTCCGTTCAGAAAGTGCACCTTCAGGGCAGGGTGCAGTGGCTCATGCCTGTAATCCCAGCACTTTGGGAGGCTGAGGCGGGTGGATCACCTGAGGTCAGGAGTTCAAGACCAGCCCAGCCAATATGGTGAAACCCCCGTCTCTACCAAAAATACAAAAATTAGCTGGGCGTGGTTGCACACGCCTGTAATCTCAGCTGCTCGGGAGGCTGGGGCAGGAGAATTGCTTGAACCTGGGAGGCGGAGGTTGCGGTAAGCCGAGATCGCGCCATTGCACTCCAGCCTGGGCAACAAGAGCAAAATTCCGTCTCAAAAAAAGAAAGGAAAGAAAGAAAGAGAGAAAGAGAGAAAGAGAGAAAGAGAGAAAGAGAGAAAGAGAGAAAGAAAGAAAGAAAGAAAGAAAGAAAGAAAGAAAGAAAGAAAGAAAGAAGGAAGAAAGCAAGCAAGCAAGCTGCACCTTCAGACTGAAGTCAATGAACAACAACAAATAACTGAGGTTAAAATAATGGCCACGAATGAAGAGACAAACACACTGATGTTTACTTCTCACCCTTTCAAATGTGCCGAACGCAAAGTATTTAATGACGCCCGTTGGCTGCTGGCGTGGGGAGTCCGGTTCCCCGACACAGGGAACGCGATCTCATCTGTAACACCAATTAAGGAGGTTCATTGACTGTGCCATTCGACTTCCTGCCCTCATGGCTCCGCGAGCCAGGAGATGAGCAGTTAGCTGGGAGCACAAACGGCATATGGCTGCCAGGCTCTTTCTGGCCGACACCACAGACGGAGGGAAAGGCTGTTTCCCCCATGCTGCAGCTCTCGCAAGCTGACAGAAGGGATTTCCTAAAGCCCCATCTGGTATGAAAGCCTCCACTGGGCAGAGTGGTTTGGGACAGCAAGCGGGTGGCTGGTAATAACAGGCTAGGGCCATATGTGCTCAGGAGAGATCTTAAGAAGCGGCTGGGAGTTTGCATAGGAGGGGGAGTGAGGAGCCAGCGTCGATCTGGAGTCAAAGGGACCCCATCCCAGAGGCAGTCACTTCTAGTGGGGGATAGGGTTTCTGTGGCTTGCAGCCTTGTGGATCTCCCTGCTGACATTACTAGGAAAGAGCTCAGATGTGCCACGCTCACTCTGAGTAGCACCTTTCGACGTGAACGTTGGGACCCTGACCTGCAGCGTCTTTGGGAGATGGGCCATCACACGGGTTCGACCCAGAATGTTAAGTTCATTCACAAAGAGAAACAAATCTGAACGTTTTCACTCCAGATCTTTCCAGAACCCGTGAGACTAAGAAAAAAGAACAAGGAAGAAAGGAGGCATAGGAATGAGGACTCCGTGGAGGGAAAACGGTCATTCCCTGTCGCTTTGGGGAATCTGCTGCAAAAACACGCCTGTCCAGGCCATCATACGTCCCGTCCCGCCCCTCCTTAGCTGGAAGGTGGAGACCAGGCGGTGGAGACCAGGCCATTCTACGTGCCGTCCTGCCTCTCCTTAACTGGAAGGTGGAGACCAGGCCATCATACATCCCGTCCTGCCCTCCTTAGCTGGAAGGTGGAGACCAGGCCATCCTACGTCCCATCCTGCCTCTCCTTAACTGGAAGGTGGGAGACCAGGCCATCCTACGTCCCGTCCCACCCATCCTTAGCTGGAAGGTGGCGGCCAGGCCATCACACGTCCCGTCCTGCCCTCCTTAGCTGGAAGGTGGAGACCAGGCCATCATACGTCCCGTCCTGCCCTCCTTAGCTGGAAGGTGGAGACCAGGCCATCACACGTCCCGTCCTGCCCTCCTTAGCTGGAAGGTGGGAGATGTCACCAGTTCACCCTAACCCCAGCCCATCCACTCCTGTGGCTCGGAACAAGCTATGAGGCGATCGCATGTGAAGGCCAATGAAAGGACTTTGCAAAAAATACAAATATATGGTAGGTTTCTACGTACAAGGTTTCTTTTTTTCTTTTCTTTTTTTTCTTTTTTTTGAGATGGAGTCTCCTTCTGTCACCCAGGCTGGAGTGCAGTGGTGCGATCTTGGCTCACTACAACCTCCGCCTCCCAGGTTCAAGCGATTCTCCTGCCTCAGCCTCCTGAGGAGCTGGGATTACAGGCACCTGCCACCATACCCGGCTAATTTTGGTATTTTTAGTAGAGACAGGGTTTCATCATGTTGCCCAGGCTGGTCTCAAGCTCTTGACCTTGTGATCTGCCCGCCTCGGCCTCCCAAAGTGCTGGGATTACAGGCATGAGCCACTGCACCCAGCCTGTTTTTTTTAATGAAAACAAAAATCCATGCCAAGATGCCTGAAAACAGACCTACCCCCAGGAGACAGGGTCAGTGCAGGTGCCCGAGGACAGGACACCAGGGCTCATCCCAGCACCCCAGAGCTCCAGGCTGATTTTCTAGTAATTTCCAACATAGCACTTGACTGACACGTCCAGCACAGACTCACAGCACGGGAGAGAACTCCTAGGACCAGCTGCTACAGTGAGAAGCTCCAGTGAGAAAGGTCAACTTCATAAACTATGGGAACACGGGAGGTGATCCACTGAATTGAGAGTGAGAGAGAATTCCACCCTTCTAGAGAGAATTCCACCCTTCTAGAGAGAATTCCACCCTTCTAGAATCCTACCATCATCAATCACCCTTACAGACTCAACATCCGAGAGAGAATTCCACCCTTCTAAAATCCTACCATCATCACCCTTAGGGACTCAACATCCAAGAGAGAATTCTACCCTTCTAGAATCCTACCGTCATCACCCTTATGGACTCAACATCCGAGAGAGAATTCCACCCTTCTAGAATCCTACCGTCATCACCTTTAGGGACTCAACATCAGAGAGAGAATTCCACCCTTCTAGAATCCTACCATCATCACCCTTACAGGCTGGACATCCAAAGACCATCTCACCTCTCCCTCATAAGACGAGGCCCTTCAGGGTCTACATCTTAGACCACTTTGTATCTTCAGTGCCTTACACGTGAGAGATACTCAATAAATGGGGATGCTGATGATGACAGTCAGGCCAATCAGCTGGATGCTGATGTGTGCTACCAGCTCCTCACATTTGACCTGGAGACACAGCCTGAGCCATAGGCAGGCGGATATTCCATTTTCACACATTTGTCATGGTTCCTCAGCAGAAAAGAAACCAGGCAAATACGCCGGGTGTGGCGGCTCACGCCTGTAATCCCAACACTTCGGGAGGCCGAGGAGGAGGCCAGGCGGTCAGGAATTTGAGACCAGCCTGGCCAACATGGCAAAACCCCGTCTCTACTAAAAATACAAAAATTAGCCGGGTGTGGTGGCTCATGCCTGTAATCCCAGCTACTCGAGAGGCTGAGGCGGGAGAATTGCTTGGAGGCCAGAGAATCACTTGAGCCTGGGAGGCGGAGGTTGCAGTGAGCCGAGATCACACCACTGCACTCCAGCCTGGGGGACAGAGCGAGACTGCATCTCATAAATAAATAAATAAGGTTTTAAAAATTAGGTGTTAGGAATAATGCTCACAATTTTAAGGAAATTGCCAGGCACGGTGGCTTGTGCCTATAATCCCAGCACTTTGGGAGGCCAAGGCAGGTGGATCACAAGGTCAGGAGTTCAAGACCAGCCTGGCCAAGACAACCCCATCTCTACTAAAATTACTAAAATTAGCTGTGGTGGTGGGCGCCTGTAATCCCAGCTGCTCGGGAGGCTGAGGCAGGGAATTGCGTGAACCCGGGAGGTGGAAGTTGCAGTGAGCCAAGATCGTGCCACTGCACTCCAGCCTGGCGACAGAGAGAAATTGTCTCAAAAAAAAAAAAAAAAAAGAAAAGAAAAAAGAAAAAAAATTTTAAGGAAATTGAACACACGAACAAAGGACTTTTAGCAAAGCAGTTTTATTTTTGCACAGAGGGGTGCCCCTTTGGCCAGTCGCCATGAGAGCACACCTGAACAAAGGGGCACAAAAGCCTTCATTCCTGACACAAGTCCTGCCCCTGTACCCTTTTTTTATTGGCCGGAGTCGGGTCTTATAATATAAACTAATCCCAGTTGGATAAACATTTGATTTTTTTTTAGATAGGGTGGGTACGTTAAAGAAAAGTGGAGGGAAAGGGGAAGGGGTGTCTGTAATGAGCCAGAAAGTTAGTCTTTCTTTAAATAAGGAAAGGAATGTGAGCTGGTACTGATAACGCTTGGTACTGTGGCATGCTGGGCACTTAACAAAGGCGAGAAGGGAAAAGGAGAAAAAAGGAGAAAAATGGTGGGGGTGGAGGGGTACAATGAATTAAAGAATAAAAGATTGATCAGATTATTTGAAGAGAAACCTCATCATATCCCACATAGTCAAATCATCTCGAAACTTTCCGCAGCTTCTGGTAGATGAGGAATGTGACTACGTAGCGCCTACCGCCCCAAATGCTATTATAAATTCCAAGTCGGCAGGGTGAGCTTTTCCGTGTCCGCTCTGCAAAATGAACAGAAGAGCAGGAAGTGTGGTTGGTGGGAACCACGGAGATGTTTGTCATCTCGGCACCGTCCGTACCTGTCCCCCCGCGGAGCCACTAGCACTCGGCACAGCTCCCTTCTCAATTTCCTATTTGATTGTTATTTCACAAGGGCTTTTTTTTTTTCCCTTCTCGGCTGCGTGGAAAGCTCTGTTTCTTGGCAGAACTTTCCAGTGCCCAGTTATAAACCCCGTGTTGATCACTTTCCTGCTTCAGGAAGTCCCCACTGAGCCCTGGGCCAAATGACAAGGAGGGGAGAGGAAATATTTACAATGATGTGAGAAACTCCCAGCCTGGAAAAAGAGATCAAAGAAAAAAGTCAGAAGGGACCGTTCTGCACGGAGCCTGGCACGTGAAGGCTTTCTCTAAATTGGCCTGGACCGGTCCACAGCGGTAATGTCACCTCACTGGGAATCCGGCAAGCCAGGCGTGTCCACAGCTCTGCAAACAGCCTCAGCCCCACTGCCACGGACCAGCCACGTCCACAGCAAAAGGAATCGTGTCCGACACTAAGAAACTGTGACCACCCAGTACCAAAGATGCCTTTATATAGAAACGGACTGTGGCTTGCATTCTTTCCCTCCACCAGCTCCTGAAATGAAAGGGTTCCGTCACACAATGAAATAAGTAACAGCAGGGAGAGAGAGAGAGGGGAGGTAAATTGTTTGGAAAGTAGAAGACAGGGTGGAAAAGATGAAATTCAAGACAGATGTGTGAGACCCGCAAACATATGTCTTTGAATTTATGCATCCAAGTGATTGATGTAGAATAAGAAAAAACAGCTACAAGCCCAATAAAGAAATAAATATAGGAGTAAATACAGAACAAAGTATCACGTTCCCCACTTCTTCCAGACCAACATCAATTCTCGTCTCTCTTTCTGCTACATAAAGTTGTTACAAAACGGGGCGAGTGAAGGATCGAAGATGAAACACTACGAATTAAGCAGAGGTTCTCTGTGGTCCCTGACACCCTCAGGAGGACGTCAACCCCTGACGATTCATTTCCAATTACTGAACGTTGATTTCCTGTTTTGTTTTTTTTTTGAGACGGAGTCCTGCCGTGTCGCCCACGCTGGAGTGCAATGGCACGATCTCGGCTCACTGCAACTTCTGCCTCCTGGCTTCAAGCAATTCTCCTACCTCAGCCTCCTGAGTATCTGGGATTATAGGCACCCACCACCACGCCCGGCTAATTTCTTTGTATTTTTAGGAGAGACAGGGTTTCACCATGTTGGCCAGGGCTGGGCTCAAACTCCTGACCTCAGGTGATCTGCCCGCCTCAGCCTCCCAAAGTGTTGGGATTACAGGCGTGAGCCACTGCGCCCAGCTGATTTCTTGTCTCTAAAAGGTACTGCTACGGCTTAACACGAGCAGGATTTAAAAAATAGTAGCATTTGCCAGGTTCGTGCCTGGTCATTAAGAAAAAATAAAGCAGGAAATTTAGATGGGCGTTTCCATCAAAACACAAAGTCCAAGGCTCTGGCCGGAAAGCCATTTTTACAATGCAGTCAGTATTCGTGCATGTCACTTTACTTCCAAACAGCGAACTCAAAGGGGCCACCACACGATTGGTTCCAAATGCCTCCTACTGAGAGACACAGGCAGCTTGCCTCCTGGTTACCTTCTCTGTTTGCAGATTCAGAAGCTAACAAGAAAGCGGACAGCAGCAGGAATGGCCCTGGATGTCAGATGCATCAGACAGAGAGGCTGAAGTGTGGTCTGAGGACAGATCGCCAGGGGTGGTGGAGATGACGGAGGTTTTTCTGGATAGGCCAAGTACCTATCCACTGCTCAGCAGGACGTCGGCTCCATACCACACATGTGCCTGGTCCTTTTTCATCAATAAACACTTATTGAGCATCTCAAACCTACCAGGCATTTGTGCCAGACGGTATGGGGTCAGATCAAGACAAAGGTCTTCGCCTTCGAGAAAGGAAGGGAGCCTGTCTGGTATGTAACAGGCTCCGGCTTCCTCTCTAGACCCTCCCCTGGGACGGCAGTCCCCACCCCACCCACACCCTTTGTTCCACGGCAGGCAATCATGGTGGGTGTGCACGCTTGATCTAAGACCAATCACGCTCTCTCCTGGAAGTTCAGAAAGTGGATACAAAGACGGATTCACTAAGACCAGAGCTTCCCAGCTGGGCGCAGTGGCTCACGCCTGTAATCCCAGCACTTTGGGAGGCCGAGACAGGTGGGTCACCTGAGGTCAGGAGTTAGAGACCACCCTGGCAAACAGGGTGAAATCTCATCTCTACTAAAAATACAAAAATTAGCTGGGCGTGGTGGCAGGTACCTGTAATCCCAGCTACTCAGGAGGCTGAGGCAGAAGAATTGCTTGAACCTGGGAGGCGGAGGTTGCAGTGAGCTGAGATCGCACCACTGCACTCCATCCTGGACGACAGACAAAAAAAAAAGATGGGAGCTTCCCAACCAGCGTGCTAGGAGCAGGCTCCAGGAGGGCACCGCACTGGCCCTCTCAGCCTCAGGGGCCGCTGGACTCCCTCTTCCCTCCCTCCACGTCCTTGTCCTCTGGCGGCCAGCTGCCTCATCCCTTTACCTCCGCAGACAAGCAATCATCATTTCCTAAACGTGGCAGGATGCAGAGCAGGTAGAGGAGTGCTGAAGAGCTGACAGTGGAGGTGAGAACCATAAACTCACGTCAAGGGCAGGCAGGGGTCGCCTTGCTGGGCCAGGGACAGCAGAGAGAAATGGAGCTGACGGAGAGGAGGACAGATAAGGAGGGGCAGGAGAGACACCAGAGTCAGAGAGGAGCGAACGAGAGAAGCTGCAGAGCCCCCAAGGAGCCCGAGAGCGACCTGCTCCTGAAACCCCAGGCTGGTCCCTCCGCATCCCAGCTGGGTGCCGTTCCTGCATCTGGAGGCCCCTGTGATGAAGGACTGTGTTCGGAGAGTCTAACTCAATCCACCTAAGGCAGCTGGAGTCCATTTCTGCTCCTCGTAAACAACTCCTAACTAAGACAGGTACGTGGGTCTGTGTGTGTGCGTGGAGAGTCCAAGCACATCACTAAATCCTCACTGCTTAGAACGCCAGAAAAAGAAAAGCAAAATCACCTGACGGACGCTCTCAGCCCTTTCAAATCCCTTTCTCACGGATCATTCTTCTGTCTTCCCCACGAGCCCCAGGGCCTGGGGAGGAGACACCTGCTCCTGCTCCCACGAGGTACGAGGTACGCAGAGGAAGGAGCAAGATGATGCCTTCAGACAAGGGAGCAAATGAGCTTCCCGGACCTCCTGCTTCCTGCAGCCAGCAGCCCATTTCTTAAGTGGGAGCCTAAGATACACAAACGTTTCACATGTGTGTGGACATGAGAAAAGTCAGTCCACTGCTCCGACCTGTGGGTCCAAGGAAGGTGGCCGTGAGCAAACTCACAAACTTGCCAAGAAATGCCATTTTGTGAGTTCCCAAAGTAGGGCTCTTCCTCTGGGAAGGTTTTGCAAGCTCACTGTCTCCAGTGGGGCTGGGGGGCACCCAGTTTTGCTCACTCGCTCTCTCCAGGGGGGCGGCGTGGGGGCCCCGGGAGCTGAGTCAGGAGGGACGAAGGCGGGAGGTTTCTTCTGCAGACAAGATGAATGGCCACACGTCCCTTAGAGCACACTCCCGAGGTAGAATCACACACATGATATTCAGAAGCAGGCACAGTACATCTTCCCCAACTTTAGTTTTCAAAGGCAGTTCAATGAGGGGGCTGCCGTTGGCGGACACTCCCCGGCCAGGTGTGTGCTGGTTCCAGATGCCGCCAGTGCCACAGAACCAAGACGGGCAGAGGGTGGAGTTTCTGAGGCGGCAACGAGACTTGACCTTCTCCTCCAGGACAGAAACGTCCCAGTGAATCAGACCCGGACGATGCCACTACTCACTTGCTTAGGAAACTTAAAACTGCTGAGGCCTTCGGAACAGAAACCACACACAAACAGCTTCTCCGTCGGGAGCACAGCTTCCTGGGACAGGCTGACCGCTTTAAAGAGCATGATAATCCTGTCAACGTTTAGCAGAACCGAACTGCTAAACATCAACACGTTTCAACCTGGTCTCCAGACCACCCAGAGAAAGGTCTGTGTCCAAAAGCCGGGGGATGCGGTGGGGAGGCCGGGGCCCAGCAAGCCTGAGCTCCGCTTGCCACTTGGCTCCAGCTCCACCCAAAGTTCCCCGGCTGAAATGAAGACGCCAGGACAAAAGACAGCGCAAGCCTCTGCCTGCTCCCAGGGGCAGCCTTGGGCTGCAGACGGGAGAGAAGATGCTTAGAAGGCATGAGCGGGGGACGGGAAGCAGAGGGGCTGAGGGGCTACAGAATGAATCTGAGGTCACTGTGTCCGCCGGCCACAAGAAAGGGCAGGTGGAAAGAGCAGGGTGGCAAAGTCAGCCAGGCTGGGAACATCCCTTCACCTCTTTGAGAAGCTACTTCCGCTGCACACTGGGAGAAACCAGTGCTTGCCTCATAGGCTTGCTATGATGAAGCCAGATGTGAAATCCAGATGGCTGCTCCCAGCACCCAGTTTCCAAGCTCAGGCGTCCACATGTATCATTTACAATTTGCGCCCTCCTCACTCCGATGCTTATTTACTTATTTTGCTTTGAATAGACTCCTTCAAAAAATTATTTTGAAAGGAAACTTTATATTGCTATTGTAAGTGGAGAACCAGCACCACTCGCCATAAATAGAGGCTAAGTGTCAAAATGAAAAGAACAAAGAACAAGCCATTATTACAAGTGATCTGTCTCGCGTTGCCTGCGGAAAGCGGAGGTCGGCTTTCTCTATGGAAGGGAGATTAGCAAGTTTTCCAGTGGTTTAAAGATGGCGCCACAGCGAGACTTTCTCCTGATCTAACCAGAGACTTGAAATGGAGAGTGGAAAAAGCTGGAAAAAGCACGCTGTAGCTCAATTAGGGGCGCCAGTCTCAGGAACGGCCCTGCCACCCTAATCCCTCAGGTCCTGTGCCAACGGAGGCAGCAGTGAGAAAAGGGAGCTAGAATCCTGTGGCCCTGGCTTATCCCTGCATGCCGGCCAAGGCCCCGCAGCCTCTAGAAGGCTCTTGGCCAAACAGCAATCCCTGCTGGCTTAGTCCCAGCTCTTCTGCCATCCGGGGGCATCCGGATGACACCTCCTCACAAGTCCCATCAGCGAGAACCTGCCTCAGCCACAGCCTCAGCCTCAGCCTCAGCCACAGCCTCAGTCGGGGCGTCTCCAGCAGGGAACCTCATTAAGCTCCCCACTGACCAGGACGTGGGCCACAGGATCCCTGGGACCCCCCGTGCCCACAGCTGGCATCTTGCTCCCCAAACTCAACCCTGTTTTCTCTCTCCTTTCTACCTCCAGAAAAAGTCAGGATGGATTATGTAGACAGACTTGCCTCTGAATGTCCATACTGACGTCCAGAAAATTTCAGGGGAGGGGAAAAAAGAAAACCCAACACTTCCTTTCCTTTCCAGCTCCCAGAGCTCCGAGTTGGTGTTGGATTTGGATACGGGGCTCCTGGAAGCGGATATGGAGCAGAAAGTAGGGCTGGGTGGGTGGAGGAGGGAGGCAGGACCCCCGTCTGCTCTCTGAGTCAGCCCGGGCTATAGAGTGGGGCCAGGTCCCCCTGCACGGTTGGGATTATGCGTATGCCAAGCCTAACCGTCCTGTCCTTACAAAGGAGGCCTGGAGCTCCCTCCAGCACAAATCGCAAATTGGGAAGAAAGAGCTTGACCAGAAGTGTTTAATGCAGCATTTCCTCAGGACCACTGTTTCCCCAGGATGCCTATTTCCCCAGGACACCTCAGAGTCCCAGGGACTCATGCAGATTTCCAGGCCCCACCTCTGACCCACTGGATCTGACCCAGGGGATGAGACCTAAAGTGTAAATTTTTTCTTTTTTTTTTTGAGACAGAGTCTCACTTTATCACCCAGGCTGGAGTGCAATGGCGCAATCTCAGCTCACTGCAAGCTCCACCCCCTGGGTTCAAGCGATTCTCCTGCTTCAGCCTCCTGAGTAGTTGGGACCACAGGCGCCCACCACCATGCCCGGCTAAAAACATAAATGTTAAGAAAATTCCCAGCCGGGCACGGTGGCTCACGCCTGGAATCCCGGTACTTTGGGAGGCGTGGATCACCTGAGGTCAGGAGTTTGAGACCAGCCTGGCCAGCACGGTGAAACCTCGTCTCTACCAAAAATACAAAAATTAGCCGGGTGTGGTGGTGCACGCACGCCTGTAGTCCCAGCTACTCGGGAGGTGGAGGCAGGAGAATCGCTTGAACCTGGGAGGCGCATGTTACAGTGAGCCGAGATCACGCCACTGCCTTCTAACCTGGCTGACAGAGTGAGACTCTGCCTAAAAGAAAAAAGAAAGCTCTCAGGTAACTCAGGCCCACTGAAGTCTCTTTCCCACAGGGTGTCCCTCTGTCCTTACTGTGTGTCCCTCGCCCCAGCTAATTCTTCCTCACCCTGCAGATATGAGGTCAAACATCAGCTCTTCGGGGGAGCCTTCTCTGCCCAGGACCTCCCTCCCAAGTTTAGACCAGGTGCTGTATACATGTCCAAGCCCTAGTACTCTTCCTTTACAGTACTTCTCACTATTTCTGTTATACACATATATATATATATATATATATTTTTTTTTTTTTTTCCAAGACGGAGTCTCACTCTGTCGCCCAGGCTGGAGTGCAGTGGTGCGATCTCGGCTCACTGCAACCTCTGCCTCCCCGGGTTCAAGTGATTCTCCTGCCCCAGCCTCCCAAGTAGCTGGGATTACAGGCACCCGCCACCACACGGCTAAGTTTTGCATTTTTATTAGACACGGGGTTTCTCCATGTTAGCCAGGATGGTCTTGATCTCCTGACCTCCTGATCCACCCACCTCGGCCTCCCAAAGTGCTGGGATAACAGGCGTGAGCCACTGCGCCCGGCCAATTTCCATTCTGTAGTTGTGTGACTTGTTGAATCATGTGTGTCCCCCCACTGGACTACAAAGCTCCACGAGGCCAGGGAGATACTTAGCTCACTCTGCTTCTGGCATCAGGCATGGCACAAAGTAGGCTTGCAGTAAAAATATCTGTGGATTAAACGAATGAATCTGGAATAGCTGCTTCTAATTCCCGCTTCCCACCGTACTCGCTCTTCTCACTAAGGTTTTCTGGACACCTGAAAGCAGGTACTTCGAAGGAAAGATCCTGCCGCTAGAATATTTTTCAGTTAGACAGATATAGAACGATCCCACCTGCTCACCTGAGTGGAGATTTAAGAGTTTAAAATTTCAGCCGGGAGCGGTGGCTCACGCCTGTCATCCCAGCACTTTGGGAGGCTGAGGCGGGCGGATCACAAGGTCAGGAGACTGAGACCATCCTGGCTAACACGGTGAAACCCTGTCTCTACTAAAAAAAAAAAATACAAAAAATTAGCCAGGCGTGGTGGCGGGCACCTGTAGTCCCAGCTACTTGGGAGGCTGAGGCAGGAGAATGGCATGAACCCGAGAGGAGGAGCTTGCAGTGAGCTGAGATTGCACCACTGCACTCCAGCCTGGGCGACAGAGCGAGACTCTGTCTCAAAAAAAAAAAAAAAAAATTGCAGCCGGGCACGGTGGCTCACGCCTGTAATCCCAGCACTTTGGGAGGCCGAGGAAGATGGATCACCTGAGGTAAGGAATTTGAGACCAGCCTAGCCAACATGGTGAAACCCCGTCTCTACTAAAAATACAAAAATTAGCTGGATGTGGCCGCAGGCACCTGTAGTTCCAGCTACTCGGGAGACTGAGGCAGGAGAATTGCTTGAACCCAGGAGGCGGAGGTTGCAGTGAGCCAAGATCACACTACTGCACTCCAGCCTGGGCAACAGAGTGAGACTCCGTCTCAAAAAAAAAAAAGACTTTAAAATTTTTTATATAGAAGCTGAGTGCAGAGGCTCACACCTATAACTACAAGCACTTTGGGAGGCCAAGGCGGGAGGGTCAATTGAGCACAAGAGTTTGAGACCAGCCTGGGCAACATAGCAAGACCCCATCTCTACAAAAAGTAAAACATTAGCTGGGTGTGGTGGAGCAAACCGGTAGTCCCAGATAACTGGGAGGCTGAGAAGGGAGGATCACTTGAGCCTAGGAGTTTTTGAGGCTGCAGTGAGCTCTGATCACGCCACTGCATTCCAGCTTGAGCTACAGAGCGAGACGTTATCTCAAATAAATACATAAATAATTCTCATATACTAACAAAGAATAAGAAGAGAGGCAGCCTTTGAATCCCCCGGGTCTGATAGCGCCCAAGGGGCTCCAGGACAGCTTTGCTCAGGGTTACAAGCAGAGGGAAGTAAATGTTTTCCACCCAATCCAAGATATCTTCTTTGCGGCTAGTAAAAACTTGACTGCTCCCCAGGATCAAAATGTGGGTAAAATTTCCCCCAGATTTATCTCTTAAGTTCTATTCACGAACAGGTTTGTTGAAAAGTTTTGTTTGAATTAGCAGAACTCTCTCTCTCTGAAAATACACCCCAGAAGGAAGCAGTCCTCCCATTCTCCAGCAAGTACAGGCAAGGTCCCATCTGATCCACCAGTTCTGGCAGCCAGATACCCACAAATGTTTAGCTCTGCCATGGGATATGTAGAATAAATTAAGTTTAGGGGAAAAAATCATAAAACAAGCCTCTGAGTCTAAAGACTCTGTGTACCTTGGCAGGAGGAATGTGTGTGTTACAACAAACTCTATCCAGTGTGCCAGGGAACTCAATCAAAACCAGCAGAAAATGATTCCTGTCATGGGACAGGCAACTCCACAGCCGGCCCCTGGGGGAGATGAAGATAAGAGGGTCCAATCTAGGCCGGGTGCCGTGGCTCGCACCTGTAATCCCAGCACTTTGGGAGGCCTAGACGGGCAGATCACGAGGTCAGGAGATCAAGACCATCCTGGCCAACATGGTGAAACCCTGTCTCTACTAAAAATATAAAAATTAGCTGGGCGTGGTGGCACACGCCTATAATCCCAGCTACTCTGGAGGCTGAGGCAGGAGAATCGCTTGAACCCGGGAGGTGGAGGTTGCAGTGAGCCAAGGTCGCGCCACTGCACTCCAGCCTGGCAACAAAGTGAGACTCCGTCTCAAAAAAAAAAAAGAGGGTCTGATCTCTCCTTGCATTTGCCAAAAATATTTTGCATCATGGCCGAGGACAGAAAAAGCCTAAAACCCTGAGTAAGAGGAGACGGACATTCTAAAGTCAAAGCCTCTGCAAACACAAAACAAACTCCACAGGAAAACTTGCTCATGGAGGTCTTTCCCTCTGGGACTCTGGCTGGATGTCTTCCGCTAGGAGATGAGTCTTAAGTCACTGCAGGGCATGCTTTACAACGGGAGTCTGTGGATAAAGTAGGGCTCCACTGGTCTTGCTAAGTACTTGTCTTTTTTTTTTTTTTTTTTTTTGAGACTGAGTCTTGCTCTGTCGCCCAGGCTGGAGTGCAGTGGTGCAATCTCGGCTCACCGCAACCTCCGCCTCCCGGGTTCAAGTGAGTCTCCTGCCTCAGCCTCCCGAGTAGCTGGGATTACAGGCACCCACCACCATGCTCAGCTAATTTCCTATTTTTAGTAGAGACGGGGTTTCTCCATGTTGGTCAGGCTGGTCTTGAACTCCTGGCCACAGGTGATCCTCCTCCCAAAGTGCCGGGATTACAGGAGTGAGCCGCCGGCCACGCCCAGCCTACTGTTCACATTTCTACCAGTATCCTGTTCACACTGCCTAGGTTTTCTCCAAGACAGCTGAGGCTTTCTCTACAGCTCTCCTCTTTTCTTTCTGAGCCCTCCCCGGAACTGCCTTTCACATTCTGTTCAGGGCAACGTAGGCCTTTTCCATCATGAACCTCAAAACTCTTCCGACTTCTACACGTCACCCAGTTCCAGAGCTACTCCCACCACTTCAGGTATCAGTTACAGCAGCACCCCCACTTCTCGGTACCAATTTATTTCTGTCTGAATCCATTCAAGCTGCTACAATAGGACAGTGCAGACTGTGTGGCTTAGGAACACAAAAGTTTCTTTCTCTCAGTTGTGGTGGGTGGAAGTCGAAAGTCAGGGCACCAGTGGACTCAGTGTCTGGTGAGGGCATGATCCTCACAGATGGCGCCTTCTTGCTGTATCCTCACATGGTGGACGTGGTCTGTCTTGGACCTTTTCTTTTTTCTTTCTTTTTTTTTTATGAGACGGAGTCTCGCTCTGTCGCCCAGGCTGGAGGGCAATGGTGTGATCTCAGCTCACTGGAACCTCCGCCTCCTGGGCTCAAGGGATTCTCCTGCCTCAGCCTACCGAGTAGCTGGGACTACAGGCACGCACCACCACACCCAGATCATTTTTGTATTTTTAGTAGAGACGGGGTTTTGCCATGTTGGCCAGGCTGGTCTCGAACTCCTGCCCTCAGATGATCTGCCTGCCTTGGCTCCCAAAGTGCTGGGATTACAGGTGTGAGACACCACACCCAGCCTAAACACCAACTATTCTAAAGCTGAAGTTAAGGATTTGTTTAAGACATACCTAAAACTACCGTGAAACCTTCAGTTTTCAAGAATATTCTAAAAAGCTGAGCATAAAAGCTGTAGCTCTCTTTCTCAATGGTCACCACCATCCCAGATATCACCAGGGCCATCAAAATAGGGCAGGGGGCAAGCATCCTCTAAGTGGAATTCTTCACCGATACCTGGTAGAGACCTCCTCTAGGTGGCACGAGTATCCCTCACTAAATAACACTGAATAGAAGAGTGAGAAGGTTATTCCTTTTGTAGTTTTCTTTCGGTCCTTCCAATTACTTTAAGAGAAGAGTCTTGCTTTGATGTCAATAAATTACTAACGTTTCTCTAACACCTGCTCATCTTCCTTTTTAACCAAAGATATAAATCTTTTTTTTTTTTTTTTGAGATGGGGTCTCGCTCTGTCGCCCCAGGCTGGAGTGCAGTGGCGCAATCTTGGCTCACTGCAGCCTCGACCTCCCAGGCTCAAGTGATCCTCCCACCCCAGCCTCCCGAGTAATGGGGTCACAGGTATGCACCACCACACCTGGCTAACTTTTGTATTTTTGTGTAGAGACGACGTTTCACCATGTTGCGGCTAATTTTTGTATTTTTTCTATAGAGATGAGGTTTTGCCATGTTGGCCAGGCTGGTCTTGAACTCCTGAGTTCCAGGGATCCACCCGCCTTGGCCTCCCAAAGTGCTGGGATTACAGGCATGAGCCACCACGTCCAGCCTAAATCTAAATTTTTAAAATGAGTATATTTAAAGAAAAATGTAAGTAAATGGTAATATAGCTGGTATTGACATGAAAGAACCACAAAGGTGATACTGGACGGCTGAGCTATAGAAAACAGCCCTACAGGCTGGGCGCGGTGGCTCACGCCTGTAATCTCAGCACTTTGGGAGGCTGAGGCTGGTAGATCACGAGGTCAGGAGATCGAGACCATCCTGGCTAACACGGTGAAACCCCATCTCTACTAAAAATACAAAAAAATTAGCCTGGCATGGTGGCGGGCGCCTGTAGTCCCAGCTGCTGGGGAGGCTGAGACAGCAGCCTGTGTGTGAACCTGGGAGGCGGAGGTTGCAGTGAGACAAGATCGCGCCACTGCACTCCAGCCTGGGTGACAGAGCGAGACTCCGTCTCAAAAAAAAAAAAGAAAGAAAGAAAGAAAAAAAGAAAACAGCCCTACGGCTTACACACGAAGGGTCTGAGATGCTGGTTCTCAGGATCAGCTATGACCAGAGGAAACTTGTTAGAACAGATTGGAGTTCCTGCTCTTCCCTCACTCTGTTAATTTGCTCGATTGCCCTCAGGCTTCTCTTTCTATCCCATAGCCAGCCAAGAGCAGGCAGGGGCCAATTTTCTGGGTTTCTTGACCCTACTTTGAAGGCTCTCTGGCATGATACAAATGGATCCCATCCACCAAGGAGGAACTGACAACATGATTTACTATTGGAAGGATCTGGTTCGAAGGCCATGGCACCTCCACTGTCTGGGAGAGTATCTTTACCAAAAAAACTTGCCACTCAAGAAACGGAGCAAGCTATTCCAGGAAATACTTTCAGATGCAGTTTCCCGTCCAGCTCTAGTTTGAAAATGAGGCCTTCTCAGTCTGAGCCCACAACCATATTTCATGGGCCCCCTCCCTGAGATGTGTTTATCCACGCTGACCGATAGTTCAAAGCGGTCGTTTGGAAGTGGAATAAAGAGTCGCTCTCTAAATTCACCAAAGGAGTTAAGACCAGGAATACTGGAGCGATTCCGACTGAGGTCACGGGGAGTTTAGGGGAAATTTTTGGTTTGGGTTTTCTCCTAGTTTTAATTGCTTATAAAAGCTCCTTAATGTCAAGTAAAGAACAACAACAAATGTGAAAAGTTGACTTCCCCAAGACGTTTATTCAAAAGAAAAAAAAATGGTTCCCAGCAACCCTTATGCAGGAGGGAGGGGATTAGGACCAGATAATCTTGTATGAAAAGGAAAGGGAAACGCAAACTACTCAAATACAAAACAACAGCTGCACGGACGGGCCTGCCAGAGAAACAACTGATCTGCTCTGTCACGACCTGTTTCACGGATCCCAGATCTGCTCTGGGGACACCACAGTCAGCTCCACTCCCATCAAACGCGATTCAATGGACCATCCAAACCAAACTCAGGCTGCTTCCTTCTCTCTGAAAGGCCTGGCCCTCAGGCCGTTCCAGACACCCCTTCCCTGTCCTCCACGGGGTACTCTGACTTTTCATAGGTGACTAAACAACAGGCAAAACCGAGCAAATTAACAGAGGGAAGAGCAGGAACTCCAATCTGTTCTAATGTGTCTCCTCTGGTCATAGCCGATCCTGAGAACCAGCATCTCAGACCCTTCCTTTGTAAGCATCAAGCAAAGGGCCCAGGGCAGAGAGGTGTGGGTTACTTCTGCAGTAAGGAAGTTGGAAAGGGTGAGTCAGAAGCTAAGGAAAACGCTCACTCCCGGCAGTGAAAGTGAGCCTTCTCTTTGTATATTATGTTATATACTTTTAACTTTAAAAAATTTATTATTATTATTATTATTATTTAAGACATAGTCTTGCTCTGTTGCCTAGGTTGGAGGGCAGTGACCTGATCTCAGCTCACTGCAACCTCCGCCTCCTGGGTTCAAGTGATTCTCCTGCCTCAGCCTCCTGAGTAGCTGGGATGACAGGCGTGTGCCGCCGCGCCCGGCTAATTTTTGTATTTTCCATAGAGACAGGGTTTCGCCATCCTGGCCAGGCTGGTCTTGAACTCCTGACCTCAGGTGATCCACCCACCTTGGCCTCCCAAAGTGCTGGGATGACAGGCGTGAGCCACCGCGCCCGGCTAATTTTTGTATTTTCCATAGAGACAGGGTTTCGCCATCCTGGCCAGGCTGGTCTTGAACTCCTGACCTCAGGTGATCCACCCACCTTGGCCTCCCAAAGTGCTGGGATGACAGGCGTGAGCCACCGCGCCCGGCTAATTTTTGTATTTTCCATAGAGACAGGGTTTCGCCATCCTGGCCAGGCTGGTCTTGAACTCCTGACCTCAGGTGATCCACCCACCTTGGCCTCCCAAAGTGCTGGGATGACAGGCGTGAGCCGCCGCGCCCGGCCTGCATAGTTTTGACTTTTGAACCTCGTAAACATTTTACTTTTACTAAAAGAATAAAATCAAGTCAAAAGTAGGAGCAAACAGCAAATCCTAAAGTTTAATATGAGCAGAAACATGTGACCCTAACTCTAATAGTAACTATTACCTATCTAGACAAAAAGGCAAATAATTTAAGTGACTTTTGGATCTAGCTCTCTGACTATTCCTCCTTTCTTGGATGTGATCTAAGGACAAAAAGAACTGAAAAGAAAGTTTGAACTTGACTTGTTAGGATCACTGCTGGCCATGATTACGGATGTTGCAAATCTGTAAACAAGGTTATCACAGTGGGATGAGAGGAACACAGATACGGACTGGGGAAGTAAGGAAGGGCCCTGGGCAGCTGGTTCTGAGTGCAACATATCAGTATCAACTCAAGATTTTAAAACACATTTAAATTTCTCAGCTCTTTCTTTTTTTTGAGACACAGTTTCACTCTGTCGCCTGCGCTGGAATGCAGTGGCACCATCTCGGCTCACTGCAACCTCCGCCTCCTGGGTTCAAGTGATTTGTGTGGCTCGGCCTCCTGAGTAGCTGGGGTTACAAACAAGTGCCACTATGCTCGGCTAATTTTTCTGTTTTTAGTAGAGACGGGGTTTCACCATGTTGGCCAGGCTGGTCTTGAACTCCTGAACTCAGGTGATCCGCCCACCTCGGCCTCCCACAGTGCTGGGATTACAGGCGTGAGCCGCCGCGCCTGACCATTCTTTGCTCTTTCTATTGAAAGTGGCTAGAGGCAGTGAGAGGCCCAGCAAGGAACACACTTCATGACCAGATGTTGGTTTCTAAGGACCATCCCTCCACCAAAGGGAAGGAGGATTTCTCAGAGGAAGAGCTGATTCCAAGACTAGGGGAGGGAGAGGCCAAGCTGAGCCTGAACGTCTCACTGAGTGCCAGAAAAGCAAGCAAATGCTTACACGATGCTGGGAACATGTTAAAAGACTCAAGAGCCATCTTGAAAAGACTCCTACTTACCAAATTTGGGATACGGTAAAAAATAGTGAATTTAATAAGCTACAGCAATAGATTTTTTTTTTTTTAATCCATGAGTCTGAAATGATACTAAAAAATGGAGTGGAAGAACATGAGGGGCTCTTTTTTTGTTTTTTCTTTTAAATTGAGACAGTCTTGCTCTGTCGCCCAGGCTGGAGTGCAGTGGCATGATCTCAGCTCACTGCAACCTCTGTCTCCTGGGCTCAAGCAATCCTCTCACCTCAGCCTCCCAAGTAGCTGGGATTACAGGCATGAACCACCATACTTGGCTAATGTTTTGTATTTTTGATGGAGACGGGGTTTCACCACGTTTCCCAGGCTGGTCTCGAACTCCTGAGCTCAAGCGATCTACCAGCCTCAGTCTCCCAAAGTGCTGGGATTACAGGCGTGAGCCACCGTGTTCAGCCAATGAGGGGCTCTTCATAAAGGAATGTGAGGTAATAAATGTAGAAGGAGTGACAATTTAAAGCCCAGGATTCTGCAATAATCAATGTAGAAACAGATTCAGGAGGCCAGGCACGGTGGCTCACACCTGTAATCCCAGAGCTTTGGGAGGCCAGGGTGGGAGGCTCCCTTGAGACCAGGAATTCGGGATCAGCTTCGGCAACATAGTAAGACCCCATCTCAAAAACATAAACATAAAAATAAAACTTAGGTGGGTGTGGTGGCCCATGCCTGTAGTCCCAGCTACTCAGGAGGCTGAGGAGGGAGGATCGCTTGAATCCAGGAGTTAGAGGCTACAGCGAGCTATGATTCTGCCACTGCAACCCAGCCTGGGTGATGGGGCAAGACCCTGTCTCTTAAAACAAATAAAACAGATTCATGAAAGAATCATCACATATCAGTGGATGTGAAGCCACTGGGTAACAAGTTACTGGGAGGAGAACATTCCTACGGTCCTAAAGTATCACACCACTTACTGCTCGTTAGTTACAAAGGAGAAACTACCTTTACAAAGTAGAGTGATCTGGCAGACATTAGCTCAACCAAATGTTTAACCTCAGCATCATCAATAACAGGACGGAACTATGATGTGGCTCCTGGTGAGATGCAACAGGAGCTCTGCGGCATTCCTGCCAGAAATGTTTGGCCTGGATGTAATCACGAGGGAACCATTTGACAAATTCAGACTCTGGAAAATTCTGCAAGACAACAGACCTATGCTCTAAACGTATCAATGCTACATTTCTTGGGTATGATAACGGTATTATTGCTAGGAAGAGAACACCCTTGTTTTTAGGAGATAATGAAGGTTTAGGAATGAAATATCATGATAAATATAATCTATTTTCAAATGCCCCACAGTATACTCAGGGGATTGGTTCTGGGACCCCCACATATTCCAAAATCCGCATATACTGAAGTCCCACAATCAGCCCAGCAGAGCCTGAGTGTAGGAAAAACCAGCCTCTGCATACATGGGTTTCACATCCTGCGAATACTGTTCTGTCTTCTTTGTTTTTTTGAGACAGAGTCTCACTCTGTCACCTGGGCTGGAGTGCAGTGGCGCGATCTCAGCTCACTGCAACCTCCACCTGGGTTCAAGTGATTCTCCTACCTCAGCCTCCTGAGTAGCTGGAACTACAGGTGCCCGCCACCACGCCCAGCTAATTTTTTGTATTTTTAGTAGAGACGGGGTTTCACCGTGTGAGCCAGGATGGTCTCGATCTCCTGACCTCATGATCAGCCCGCCTCAGCCTCCCGAAGTGCTGGGATTACAGGTGTGAGCCACCACGCTCAGCCGTGTTTTGTTTTGAGACAGGGTCTCGCTCTGTCCCCCAGGCTGGAGAGCAGTGGTACAATCACATCTCACTGCCGCCTCAACCTCCCTGGCTCAAGCGATCCTCCTGACTCAGCCTCCTGAGTAGCTGGGACCACAGGAGCATGCCTCCATGCCCAGATAATTTTTAATATTATTTGTAGAGATGGGGGTCTCTCTATGTTGCCCACGCTGGTCTTGAACTCCTGGGCTGATGCAATCCTCCTGCCTCAACCTCCCATAGTGGTGGGATTACAGGTGTGAGCCTCTGCACCTGGCTGACACTGTATTTTTGATTCACATCTGGTTGAAAAAAGTCCACATACAAATGGACCCTTGCAATTCAAATCCACGTCATTCAAGGATCAACTGTCCTTCAGGGAAAAAACATACCCACTGCTTACACAGAGCTCTGTAGAGGTTTATGTCAGGCTCATACAGTGTGTTCCCCAGATCAGCAGCAGCAATGCCTGGGAACTGAGTGAGGAAACACGTTAACCATTGCTCAGTTTCGGTGAAAGGACACAGTTACCGTTGCTGGGTTCCGGTGAAGGGACACGTCTGCCATTGCTCGGTTCCGGTGAAGGGGCACAGTTACCGTTGCTCGGTTCCGGTGAAGGGGCACGTTTACCGTTGCTCACTTCCGGTGAAGGGGCACGTTCACCGTTGCTCGGTTCCGGTGAAGGGACGCGTCTGCCGTTGCTCGGTTCCGGTGAAGGGCACAGGATGGGCATTCATGGTACTTGTCTTCAACTTTTCTGTAGGTCTGAAATTTCCCAAGATAAAAAGTTCGGAGTAGGGAGAGTAAGTCTTAATCCATTTCCTTCTCAGGGAATCAAAACCACGGTTCTTCAGAGTGTTGATTCTTAAATTTGCCAAAACGTAGGGGAGTGCTAGCTTAGATCCATCTGTGTTCCCTAGTTCCATGTCCCATGGGACAAGACACCAGCCTCAACGGTATTAGGTCAGGAGGGCGGATTGCATGGAAAGAAACAGAATCGAGGAACAAAGTGGGCTCTGCCCGTTCAAACGGCTGCCCTGGGAGTACAGGCTGTTTCTCCCTGATAAACATCGGTGAGACCAACATGAGTGTGAGGCTTTGCAGGAACTTGCCCTGCATTTCCTCCCTCTCCAGATAATTCTCTGGTCTAACATTTCAGAAGGCTTTTTACCAGACTCACCCTGAGATCCTTTCCAACCTGATTATAAGAGAAACCATCATGACCCCACTGCTCACTCTGAGGCTCCTCTAATTAACGGACCTCTAAGGAATGTGTTTGGCATTAAAGGGGCAGAGGTGGGTAAAGTTAAGGAAGCTGCTGCAAATCTCCTGAAAACGGAGGCAACCCAGGCGGTGTTCTGTCAGTCTGCTGCCCAAGGAAGGGCCAGATGCCCTGAACCCTTCTCTCTCATTCAACACGGATGAAAAGATAAAGAATCCAGAAACTAAAGGGCAGATTCTAGAATTTACCTCCTGCTTAAGCTGTCCTGGCAGTCAGGCTCCTGGATCTCGGAACTAGAACCACGCCTGGTTTATGTAAAATCAGGAGATGGGACTAAACAGATCATCTCGTCCACACTGATTGAACAGAGGAGAAAAGCACAACTCCCAGAAGTCATCTTTCTCGCTCGATATTGTCCATCTCCCCTCCCTGTGCTCCTTCAGTGGAAGCGCATTGGGTGATATCCTCTGTATTAGGTAGCAATGTTTTCTGGGCAAGGGAAACTATTGGTATTACAGGCTGGCTGACAAAAGCTGGAGTTACACTTTTTTTTTTGAGACAGAGTCTCCCTCTGTCACCCAGGCTGGAGTGCAATGGCACGATCTTGGCTCACCGCAACCTCTGCCTCCTGGATTCAAGTGATTCTCCTGCCTCAGCCTCCTGCATAGCTGGGATTACAGGCATGCACCACCACGCCCGGCTGATTTTGTATTTTTAGGAGAGACGGAGTTTCTCCATGTTGGTCAGGCTGGTCTCGAACTCATGACCTCAGGTGATCCGCCCACCTCGGCCTCCCACAGTGCTGGTATTACAGGCATGAGCCACCACGCCCGGCCGAGTTACACATTTTCTATAAAGCAATGACAGTCTCTCCCCTCCAAGAAGGACCTTGGCAATGTCTACAGAAGTCAATAATGTCCATTATTCTTTGGCTTAGCAATTCCAATTCACAGATATGCATGTGTGAAGTGTGCAGAGATAGATGTGCAACAATGTTGCTGGGCGCAGTGGCTCACGCCTGTAATCCCAGCACTTTGGGAGGCCGAGGTGGGCAGATCACTTGAGGTCAGGAGTTCGAGACCAGCCTGACCAACATGGAGAAACCCCATCTCTACTAAAAATACAAAATTAGCCGAGCGTGGTAGCACATGCCTGTAATCCCAGCTACTCAGGAGGCTGAGGCAGGAGAATCGCTTGAACCCGGGAGGTGGAGGTTGCAGTGAGCTAAGATCGCGGCATTGCACTCCAGCCTGGGCGACAGAGCAAGACTCTATCTCAAAAAAAAAGAAAAAAAAGTGTGTGCGACAATGTTTATCATAGTATTATTTGCTACAGCAAAAGGAGAAGGAAGGAGTGAAATATCCATTTATCAGGCAGTGGGCAAGTAAATTACGCTCTATATATTCAATAGAATACAATGCTGTTATTGCAACAATTAAAGCAGGTCGGCTATGCCGATAGGAAGAGACTGGCAAGATATTAGATTTTTTTTTTTAAATCAGACGTTTCTTTTGTAAATAGAACAGACAATACCCGTCACATACATGTATAAATGCACAGAAGATATTTCAGAAGGATGTATATAAGAAACTTAAGGCTGGGCGCAGTGGCTCACACCTGTAATACCAGCACTTTGAGAGGCCGAGGCAGGAGGATCACCTGCACTGAAGAGTTCAAGATCAGCCTGGGCAACATGGTGAAACGCTGTCTCTACAAAAAATACAAAAGTTGGTGGCGGGCGCCTGTAGTCTCAGGTACTCGGGAGGCTGAGGCAGGAGAACCCTTGTACCCAGGAGGCGGAGCATGCAGTGAGCTGAGATCGCGTCATTGCCCTCCAGCCTGGGCGACAGAGACCCCATCTCAATAAATAGATAAATGAACCTTAAGAGAGAGGATAGGTGAGGAGTTGTACCTCAGTAACACCCTTCAGTACCATGTACCTGTTTTAAGTACGTGCATGGAGTTCTGCTTTTATAAAGAAAGAAAAAGTCCTGGCAGCCTCTAACGTTGTTCAATTTCAGCCCAGACCCTATCAAGCAAGGACTTTTTAACTGAATCAGCAATTAAACTGCTAGATGTGGACTAATCTGGTTTGTGATCTGAAAATACATATTCTTAGTGAAACAAATGATTTGAGCATGGGTCAGGGCAAGGCCAACATTCAAATACTGCAAACCCTCAGCTGGTGCCAGCCTCAGGCTGCGGGTCAGAACATGTGAGTGGAAACAGTTCCCAGGAAAGAAAACTGATGCCAGCTTGGTCAGCAAGTTCTCGGGGTTCTCCGGGGAATTCTCCAGCTTGGTCAGCAAGTTCTCGGGGTTCTCCGGGGAATCCTCCAGCTTGGTCAGCAAGTTCTCGGGGTTCTCCGGGGAATCCTCCAGCTTGGTCAGCAAGTTCTCGGGGTTCTCCGGGGAATCCTCCAGCTTGGTCAGCAAGTTCTCGGGGTTCTCCGGGGAATCCTCCAGCATGGTCAGCAAGTTCTCGGGGTTCTCCGGGGAATCCTCCAGCTTGGTCAGCAAGTTCTCGGGGTTCTCCGGGGAATCCTCCAGCTTGGTCAGCAAGTTCTCGGGGTTCTCCGGGGAATCCTCCAGCATGGTCAGCAAGTTCTCGGGGTTCTCCGGGGAATCCTCCAGCTTGGTCAGCAAGTTCTCGGGGTTCTCCGGGGAATTCTCCAGCATGGTCAGCAAGTTCTCGGGGTTCTCCAGGGAATTCTTGCCAGTCCCTTAAGATTATGCTCAGAGTAGGGCTTGCCCAGCTACCAACATATGCTTTCCTGTTGTTGAAGGAGAAGTTCAGCAAAACTATGTAGCTAAATGACACGAAAAGTTTTTTCTCAAAGCCTGGGAGAACAGTAGTTTGGCCTCTGAAGAATCCCAAACTTGTGGTTAATAAGAGAAAAATAGACAGTTTAACACGTGGAAGATTGAAAAGTCTAAACAGGCCAGCGTGGTGGCTCTTCCCTGTAATCCCAGCACTTTGGGAGGCCAAGGCAGGTGGAACACCTGAGGTCAGGAGTTCGAGACCAGCCTGGCCAACATGGCAAGACCCCATCTCTACTAAAAATACAAAAATTAGCCAGGTGTGGTGGCGGGAGGCTGTAATCGCAGCTACTCGGGAGGCTGAGGCATGAGAATCGCTTGAACCCAGGAGGTGGAGGCTGCAGTAAGCCGACAGAATGAGACTCCAACTCAAAAAAAAAAAAAAGTCTTAAATGTACCTTGCAAAGAGTGTGCAGAAGCTGTTCAGATGTAAGTGGGGGTCCTGTGTGGTTGTTCTGCCTTGTTACTAATGACCTTCAGAGTGACAGGAGCATGACCTATTCCGGGGACACAGCAGGGACATGTGTTGTGCTCCAGCAGAGCCTGTACGGCGTCCCATGGGTCATCTCCTAGCTGGACACTGGCAAGAGTTCCAGAGTCATCTCCCTCCCTTCATTCTTCAGGCTGCTTCCCTGGGAACCATTCCCCAGAACTCACCTCTCCTCTGTCCTTCACACATGGGATTCCCTCTATCCGATCCACCCTTCCCCGGAATTCCCCTCTCCTCCAGCCTTCACACGTGGGATTCCCTCTATCCCAGCCACCCTTCCCAGCAATGTTTACCTGACTCCAGCTCCTTGATGAGAATCACTGGGAAACTCCCTGACCGTATCTCCCTCGAACTCTCATCCAGCCAGCAGGGTGAGGGAGCTCCTCCTCGGCTCTCACCCGCAGACTTAACGCCTTCGCGCTCCCCAAGCACAGAAACTACCTTGTCTTTTTTTGTTTTTTTTTTGGTTTTTTGTTTGTTTGTTTGTTTGTTTTTGAGACGGAGTCTCGCTCTGTCGCCCAGGCTGGAGTGCAGTGATGCGATCTCTGCTTACTGCAACCTCCGCCTCCCGGGTTCACGCCATTCTCCTCCCTCAGCCTCCCGAGTAGCTGGGACAACAGGCGCCCACCACCACGCCCGGATCATTTTTTTGTATTTTTAGTAGAGACGGGGTTTCACCACGTTAGCCAGGATGGTCTCGATTTCCTGACCTCGTGATCCGCCCGCCTCGGCCTCCCAAAGTGCTGGGATGACAGGCGTGAGCCACCGCACCCGGTCGAAACTACCTTCTCTACATCGTGATCACCCCAGTGCCAGCACCGACCCTGGGCCGGGCCCACCATCCCGCCTGTGTTTGTAGGATAAGTAAATGAGCAGAGAAAGGAAAATGTCCAGATGCACAAAAAGGAAACCTCGGAAATCCCTGCAGCCAGAGAAAGACACAGAAAACACGGAGGCTGAGTGTTGGAGCTTCCCAGGGCCCCGGGTGGAAGGTCTCCCAGGCTTTCTATCACTGCAGACGCCAGGTGGTGGCTGGGGCAGATTCTACCCAAGCCTCCTGCCTTATATTAAGTCCCACCCTCCACACAGATGAACCTCTAGACTTGGGTGAACCCCACTGACCAGACAGTTCCTTCTCTCTCATCTCACATCCTGCCTCCTGTTTGTTAACTTCCCAGCACAGATCTGTTTCTCTGTAAAGGGCAGGCAGCCCTTACACACCCTGGGTTACATCAAAGGCCAGAACGAAAGGCCAGCACGGCTTAAGAGGGCCGTCCAGAACTGGCTGCTGACACCAACCCAAGAGTGATCCAGCTTCTGACTCACCAGGCACCAGCTCATGCTCTCTGATCCAGGAGCCCCGACAAGCGACCTGAGGTTCCAGGGGGGCTGCCTGACACATCTCTGCTCCGACCAACAGGGTTAGGAACCTACACAGATTACGAGGTGGAAGAAGGAAGGTCTCTAAAGCTCCTGAGCTGCAAACAGGACCATATTGGCAAAAGCTCCTGTGTCCCTGTTCACATCCACATACTTTAAGTATTATTTCTGCAGCATTTAAATACTTTAGAAAGATACTGTAAGAATCGCTGACATATGTAGGTTTCAATGAAATCACTCAGGGAGCCCTCCCCACTCGGGAAAGACTCCTTATTACAGAGCCCAGTTCTGTAAGTTCCCTGGAGAAATGAGTGAGGAGGGAAGGCGGACGTGGTCAGTCATAAAATCTTGACGCTCTTTTTCACTTCCTCTGCTCGTTCGTGTTCCACGGACAGTTAACAGCTACGTCCTGCCAATTCTCCTCCAAGCCTCTCTGGGAACCAGTTCTTTGCCTCTGATCTCGGTTAAGAACCGCTGACCTGCTGCCCAGAGTAAAAGGTGGCGTGCGAGAGCTCTCGTACTTAGGAAGGAAAGGATGGTGCCAGGCGCTTGGTGCTTGCCTTAAGCCGGCAGTTTTCAACCGGGGGGTGGTTGTGCTTCCCACGGGCCATTTAGCAATGCCTGGGAACGTTCCTGGCTGTCACATTGCGGGGTGGAGTGTTACTGACACAGTAGGTAGAAGCCAGGATGCTGTCCACGTTCTACCAGGCGCAGGACAGCTCCTCCCACAGCAAAGAAGTACCTGGCTCAGAACGTCAGCAGGGCCAAGAAACCCCACACCAAGCCTCTCCTGGGATTATTCCAGTCTCCATTTGGCCCCCAGTCACTTTCTGATTCCAGTTCTCCAGCCCAGGAATGCAGGACGTGGATTAGAGAAGCAAAGGGAAAGTTCATCCAGAAAGATTCCGGTTCTGTGAGTGTTACTAACGGGGCAAGCACCTTGAAGGTACCGTGGGACGTGGGTGATTCATGAGCCTGAATTGTCTCACTGTTATCACGTGATCAGAGTGAGGCGGCCTAAGGGAGCATCACAGGATGGGAAGGGCCAGGTTGAATGAAAAATCCTGGCTGAGTTCAGTGGCTCAGGCCTGTAATCCTAGCACCTTGGGAGGCCAAGGAGGGAGGATTGTTTGAGTCCAGGAGTTCGAGACCAGCCTGGACAATATACTGACACCCTGTCTCTACAAAAAAAAAAGTAATAATACAAATAATTAGCCAGGTGTGGTGTCCCGTGCCTGTAGTCCCAGCCACTTGAGAGGCTGAGGTGGGAGGACTGGTTAAGCCTGGAAGGCGGAGGTGCCAGTGAGCCCCGATTGTGCTACTGTATTCAAGCCTGGGCAACAGAGTGAGACTCTGTCTGGAAAAAAAAAAAAAAAGAATCTTATCCACCCCACCCAGTCTTTCTTTCTGAGCAAATGGTTTGGAATCTCTCACACTTCTGGTGCTACATGCTTTTATTTATTTATTTATTTATTTATTTTTGAGACAGAGTCTCACTCTGTCGCCCAGGCTGGAGTGCAGTGGTGCGATCTCAGTTCACTACAAGCTCCGCCTCCCGGGTTCACACCATTCTCCTGCCTCAGCCTCCCGAGTAGCTCGGACTACAGGCGCCCGCCATCACGCCCAGCTAAATTTTTTTTGTATTTTTAGTAGAGACGGGGTTTCACTGTGTTGGCCAGGATGGTCTCGATCTCCTGACCTCGTGATCCGCCCACCTCGGCCTCCCAAAGTGCTGGGATTACAGGCGTGAGCCACCGTGCCCGGCTATGCTTTTATTTTAAGCACGGTGATCTTCGCAGCTCTCATTCTGGAGCCACATTGGCAGCCACCATGAACTAAGGGAGTGTACATACAACCTCCCAGGCACCCCGAAGCTCCAGGGTTAGAACCTGGTCACTGTGGTGACCTCAATGATGAGGCCAACAAGTAATTGATTCCTAATATCACTTAGTGAAGTTAGTAAATGGTCTGTTTTCCAGTGATAAATCGCAGCATACGCATTCACTTTTTTTTTTTTTTTTTTTTTTTGAGATGGATTCTCATCGTGTCCCCCAGGCTGGAGTGCAGCAGCACGATCTCAGCTCACAGCAACCTCCACCTCCCGGGTTCAAATGATTCTCCTGCCTCAGCCTCCCGAGTAGCTGGGATTACAGGTACGTGCCACCATGCCCAGCTAATTTTTGTAGTTTTAGTAGAGACGGGGTTTCACCATGTTGGCCAGGCTGGTCTCGAACTCCTGACCTCAGGTGATCCACCTGCCTCAGCCTCCCAAAGTGCTGGGTACAGGCATGAGCCACCGCGCCCAGCTGCATTTGCTTTTGATAAGTTTCCCTGAATGGAAAATGTTGATGTTACACTAGCTAATTGGGAATGGCATGTGTTATCCAGCCCTGATCCAGCTCTGCTGTGTTACTGATGAACACCTAACAGTTACCCGCAAGCTTGCAAAATGCTTTTATGAACCACATATCACCAAGCATCTGCAGTGCTATTTGCTTTATTTCCTGGGAAACTCGGGGGTGAGGGATTGGGGGAGGAATTATCAAAATTTGGACAAACCCAGAGAAGTATGTTATGTGTGGAATTTCAGACACCATGTGTGCTGTGGCAAAAATAAAAATAAAAAATGAAAAAGTTGAGGACTGTGATTCTAAAACAGGATGAGGAAGAAGGGCCTGAAGCCATAAATGGAAGAACCAGGGATGATGGAGAGTTCCTGCACTGAGTCCTGGCCTTTCTGCCAAGCTGCCGAATGCTCAGAGGCCACGATGCTGAACCCGTGAATCAAAGACAAGAGGAGAGGGAGGGAGGGAGAGAGGGGGAGAGAGGGAGAGAGAGAGAGACGGAGGGAGGGAGGGAGGAACACATCAAAGACAAGGAGAGAGACAGAGGAACACGTCAATCAAAGACTAGGAGAGAGAGAGAGAGAGAAACATCAAAGACAAGGAGAGAGACAGAGGAACATGTCAATCAAAGACAAGGAGGGAGAGAGAGAGAGAAACACATCAACGACAAGGAGACAGAGGAACACGTCAATCAAAGACAAGGAGAGAAAGAGAGAAACACATCAATCAAAGGCAAGGAGAGAGAGTGTGTTTGAGGAAACACCAGCCTATGGTGTTTAATCTTCAGTGCCAACATGAGTGAGCTAGAGGGTACCCTGATATTTGATTAAACATGATCCTGAGTGTGTCTGTGACTATGTTTCCGGGTGAGATCTTTTTTTTTTTTTTTTTTTTTTTTGAGACGGAGTTTCCCTCTTGTTGCCCAGACTGGAGTGTGATGGTGCAATCTCAGCTCACTGCAACCTCTGCCTCCTGGCCTCAAGCGAGTCTCCTGCCTCAACCTCCCAAGTAGCTGGGATTACAGGCGCCTGCCACCACGTCCAGCTAATTTTTGTATTTTTAGTAGAGACGGGTTTTTGCCATGTTGGCCAGGCTGGTCTTGAACTCCTGACCTCAGGTGATCCACCCGCCTTGGCCTCCCAGTGTTGGGATGACAGGTGTGAGCCACCACACCCAGCTGAGATCAACATTTGAATCAGCAGACTCGGAATATAAAGCAGACTGCTCTCCCCAGTGTGGGTGGGCCTCATCCAACCCACTGAAGTCTAAGGAGAAAAAACTAAATAGAAAAAACTGCTGACAGGGAGAATTCTCTCTGACTGTCTTCCAGCTGGGACACCCGTCTTCCTCTGCCTTCAGACTTGGCGGGAACTTACACCATCAGTTCTCCTGGGTCTCCAGCTTGCCAACTGCAGCTCTTGGGGCTTCTTAGCTTCTATAACCATGTGTGCCAATCCTTTATAAGAAATCTCTTTCAGCCAGGTGGGTGGCTCACGCCTGTAATCCCAGCACTGTGGGAGGCCGAGGAGGGTGGATCACTTGAGATCAGGAGTTCGAGACCAGCCTGGCCAACACGATGAAACCCCATCTCTACTATAAATACAAAAATTAGCCAGGTGTGGTGGGGGGTGCCTGTAATCCCAGCTACCTGGGAGGCTGAGACAGGAGAATTGCTTGAACCCAGGAGACGGAGGTTGCAGTGAGCTGAGATCGCACCACTGTACTCCAACCTGGGAGACAGAGACACTGTCTCCAAAAAAAAAAAAAAAAAGGAGTCTCCGTCTCCTTCTGTACTTCTGTACTTATATTTTGCTAGTCACAGAGAGACCTTTGAGAATATACAACGTGAATATCAACTTCTTACTGGAAGCTTCTTTTAGCATCTTCTTGAGACCTCCTTAGCTAGAAAGTCTGGCAAAGTGAAGTTCTGGAAGCTTTGTGCATATAAATAATGATAATATCAATGGGTTGGTAGGAAACGGCCTTCTCAGACCTATGAAAAAAATATATCCTCCTACAGTTTATTAAGGAAAAATGTTTATGCCTTAATTTAAACCATTTCCCTGGGGGGAAAGAGGAGCAGTTCATTAATTACATAGGACAGTGAGTGAGGGAGTGGGGGAAACACACGGGTTCTGGTGAGGATGATCACGTCTCAGCTTCCTCCATTTCTCCAACATCAGCTGCTCAAGACAGAATCATGGTCTTTTTCCAGCATCTGAGCCGCCCACTCCTGACATGGTTTGGCTGTGTACCCACCCAAATCTCATCTTGAATTCTAGTCCCCATAATCCCACATGTAGTGGGAGGGACCTGGTGGATGGTCATTGAATCATGGGAGCAGTAACCCTCCTGCTGTTCTCATGATAGTGAGTGAGTTCTCACAAGGCCTGACGGTTTTATAAGGGACTCGTCCCCCTTCTGCTCATCCTTCTCCTTCCTGCCACCATGTGAAGAAGGATGTGTTTGCTTCCCTTTCCCCCATGATTGTAAGTTTCCCGAGGCCTCCCCAGCCCTGTGAAACTGTGAGTCAGTTAAACCTCTTTCCTTTATAAATTACCCAGTCTCAGCCGGGCACGGTGGCTCACGCCTGTAATCCCAGCACTTTGGGAGGCCGAGGTGGATCATGAGGTCAGGAGTTTGAGACCAGCCTGGCCAAAATGGTGAAACCCCACCTCTGCTAAAAATAAAAAAATTAGCCGGGCGTGGTGGCAGGCACCTGTCATCCCAGCTACTCGGGAGGCTGACACAGGAGAATCGCTTGAACCCGAGAGGCAGAGGCTGCGGTGAGCCGAGATCATGCCACTGCACTGTAGCCTGGGTGACAGAGCGAGACTCTGTCTCAAATAATAAATAAACAATTACCCAGTCTTGTTATGTCCTTACAGCAATGGGAGAACAGACTAATGCAGCTCCCAGGCACAAGCCTGGATCACAATCATGCCACTGCACTGTAGCCTGGGTGACAGAGCGAGACTCTGTCTCAAATAATAAATAAACAATTACCCAGTCTTGTTATGTCCTTACAGCAATGGGAGAACAGACTAATGCAGCTCCCAGGCACAAGCCTGGATCACAAAGGCAGCCAGTCACTACTGCACACTCCTCCATGAGAAAACCAGAATCTGTTACAGGTGAATAAATAAATTACTGGCGCAAAAGACAAAAATGACTACAGAAAAGAACAATTTCAAAGAAACATATCAACAGTGCAATTATAGAACACCATTTACCATTGGTGAAGCACTTTGTGTCAAGCACCATAAAACACTGCTTTATATATACTACCTTTTTTCTTTTTTTTTTTTCTGAGACAGAGTCTTACTCTGTCACCCAGGCTGGAGCGCAGTGGCACAATCTCAGCTCACTGCAACCTCCGCCTCCCGGGTTCAAGTGATTCTTGTGCCTCGGCCTCTGGGGTAGCTGGGATTACAGGCGCACGCCACCATGCCTGGCTAACTTTTGTGTGTTTAACAGAGACAGGGTTTCACCATGTTGGCCAGGCTGGTCTTGAACTCCTGACCTCAGGTGATCCTCCCATCTCAGGCTCCCAACCTACTGGGATTACAGGCGTCAGCCACCATGCCGGGTGCTATACTACCTCTTTTAATCCTCACAACAGAATCTTCTATACTATTATCAACAACCCCATTGAGCAGATCAGCAAACAGACTCATAGAGATAAGCCACTCACTGAAGGCTGCCTGGTTAAATCACTGAATCATAAATCAGAGAGAATTCAAACCTGGGTCTCTTATCTCAAAAGTCTTAATTTGCCTCACTACACACTTAAGAGCAGAAGATCGAATCAGACTAGTGTGAAATGAAATAGGGTTTTTTTGTTGTTTTGGTTGTGGTGTTTTTGTTTTTGTTTTAAGATTCTGCTCTGTTGCCCAGGCTGGAGTACGGTGGTGCAATCATAGCTCACTGCAGCCTCCAACTCCCTGGGCTCAAGTGATCCTACCACCTCAGCCTCCCAAGTAGCTGGGATTACAGGCACATGTGACCATGCCTGGTAAATTAAAAAAAAAAAAAAAATTGTAGAACCCGGTCTCATTTTGTTGCTCAGGGGGTCTCAAGCTCCTGGCTTCAAGCTATCCTCCTGCCCCGGCCTCCCAAAGTGCTGGGAGTACAGGTGTTGGCTACTTTCAAAAGCTTTTTAGGCCGGGCACAGTGGCTCATGCCTGTGATCCCAGCACTTTGGGAAGCCAAGGTGGGCGGGTCATGAGGTCAGGAGATCAAGACCATCCTGGCTATCAGGGTGAAACCCCGTCTCTACTAAAAATATAAAATTAGCCGGGCGTGGTGGCGTGCACCTGTAATCCCAGGTACCTGGGAGGCTGAGGCTGGAGAATCGCTTGAACCTGGGGGGGTGGAGGTTGCAGCGTGCCAAGACCGTGCCACTGCACTCCAGCCTGGGCGACACAGTAAGAATCCATCAGAAAAGAAAGAAAAAAAAGAAAAGAAAGAAAAGAAAAGAGAAAGAAAGAAAGAAAGGAGAAGAGAAGAGAAGAAAAGAAAAGAAAAGAAAGGAAATGCAGGTGCCCAGAAAAAAAGGCAGGCTCCCAAAGTGAATACTAAGACACTCAATCTCACATGTTGTCAAAAAAGCTATTGAAATTTCAGGTGACAGAGGGACTTAAGAACAACGGTGCTCAAGGAAGTCAACACAGGCTACGACGTACAGGACTCCCAATCCGGCTCATGACCACATCCCCTATTGTGGTCATTTAGAACACGCTAGGCGTCCTTTGCTCTAAGCGTGTTTCATGTACGTCTCCCCATCAATGAAGAAAGCACCTGGAGAGTAGGAAGTAAGAGTTATGTACTCTGAGATTCTCTCTTAAGCCCAGGAATCAGTCTCACTGGGCGGGGAGCTCAACAGCGCTGTTAGTGTCGTTCGCTGATAATTACTTTCACACTAGAATACCATCTTCATTCCTCATTTATACGGGAAACTCCTTGTGGTTCCCTTTGGGGCACCAGCTCCCAGCACATTCTATGTCATCAAAATTAACTCTTGGCCGGGCGCGGGGGCTCACGCCTGGAATCCCAGCACTTTGGGAGGCTGCGGGGGCGGGGGGATCACCTGAGGTCGGGAGTTCGAGACCAGCCTGGCCAACACAGTGAAACCCCGTCTCTACTAAAAACACAAAAAATTAGCCGGGTATGGTGGCGGTCGCCTGTAATCCGAGCTACTCAGGAAGCTGAGGCAGGAGAATGGTGTGAACTCGGGAGGCTGAGGCAGGAGAATCACTTAAACCCAGTAGGCAGAGGTTGCAGTGAGCTGAGATTGCACCACTGCACTCCAGCCTGGGTGACAGAGTGAAACTCTGTCTCGAAAACAAACAAAAAAACTAATTCTTAATATATTAAACAAACGTACTAAACAACTATGGGAACAGCGACGGTGTTGTTTTTTTTTGGAGACGGAGTCTCACTCTGTCGCCCAGGCTGGAGTGCAGTGGCATGATCTCGGCTCACTGCAAGCTCCGCCTCCCAGGTTGATGCCATTCTCCTGCCTCAGCCTCCTGGTAGCTGAGACTACTGGCGCCCGCCACCAAGCCCGGCTAATTTTTTGTATTTTTAGTACAGGCGGGGTTTCACCATGTTGGCCAGGATGGTCTCGATCTCCTGACCTCGTGATCCACCTGCCTCAGCCTCCCAAAGTGCTGGAATTACAGGCGTGAGCCACCGCGCCCGGCCGCGACTGTGTTTTTCAAACAGCTGCATTTACCAGCCACTACTGGATTCCTTCTACGTGTGAAGCCCTGTGCTAAAGGCTGGGAACAGAAAGATAATTGATACACGAGCCTTTCTTTCCTTTATGGAAGGCCCAGCCCCATACGGAAGACGGACGCGTACATAAACTATTAGGATACAGGAAAAGCGCGATACTACTGGCACATAGAGGAAATCGGGGAAGATGCTTAGAACAATGTCTGGGGCACACGCTCAGTGCTTTACAAAATACTCGTTATTTTTACCATCTAACCTTGTGAGTTAGAGCGACTGAAGAGGAAAGGCCGTAGCGTCTGAGCTGCTCTGTGAAGAATGAACCGGTTTTCACCAGGCAGGCCAGGAGTGGGATAGGGCGAGGCATCCAAGAAACAGCAAGAGGCAGGCAGAGCTCAGCACACGTTTTTCCAGACTGTGAACCATGAAGCTCTGAAGGCTGCTAGGAGGGCCACGGGAGCTGTGGGAGAGGGTGAGGCTGGAGCCCTGTGGGCTAACAGACAGGGCTCTAATTCGTGACATCGTGGCAACAAACTATTAGAAATGAGGCTAGACCTGGAAGCCCTGGGGGCACAGTCTGGAGGGGAGACAGACGAGAGCTAAGTAGAATGCAGGCAATGACGCCGTAACAGAGATCTGCACAGCGACCATTGCACAGCGTGGGGGCAGGCTTCTGAGAGGAGGTAACATGCTGAAAAGACAACGTGTACAGCTGACATTAGTACACAACCTCATCGGAGAGAGAAGAAGCGGAGGGAATCCCAGGAGCAGGGGCCATCATGCTCAAAGGTTCCAAGGTACGGCAATGGGCGATGTGTCTGGGGACCCTGGGGGTCGACCAGTGTGGCTGAGCAGAGTGTGCAAAGGTGAGGATGCTAGAAGGCCAGGTGCGGTTTCGGGGCGGGGCAGGGGTTGCCCTTGAAGGTGGGGTTTGGGGGTGGGGGAGGGGGTGCCCTTGAAGGAGGGGTTTGCGGGCGGGGGTGGGGGGACCTTGAAGGTGGGGTGTGGGGGCAGGGGAGGGGGTGCCCTTGAAGGTGGGGTTTGGGGGCAGGGGAGGGGGTGCCCTTGAAGTCCACGCCAGGGAGTTTGGGTTGGATCCACCCGTAATGAGGGCTGGCCCATAGGGCAGTGACGTGAACAACTGGTACTGTAGCCAGGTTGTTCTGGGAGCTGTGTAGACAGGGTGAGACTGGAAGTTGGTGGACTCATTAAGGGACTAGTGAAACAATAGTGCCCCAACCTGATTGAACCCAGTGAATGGGGGGAAATGAGAATGTCAAGGCCTGTAGCTTGGGTAGATGCGTCAGTGAGACCCTATTCATAACCAGAGCCTAAAAAAACACGCAGAGCCAGTTAAAAGCTCTAATATGTGTTTAAAGAACAAATTAATGAAAGAATGCGTAGACAGGCCAGGTGCGGTGGCTCACGCCTGTAATCCCAGCACTTTGGGAGGCTGAGGTGGGTGGATCACCTGAGGTCAGGAGTTCAAGACCAGCCTGACCAACATGGCGAAACCCTCTCTCTACTAAAAATACAAAAACTAGCCAGGTGTGGTGGCAGGCGCCTCTAATCCCAGCTACTCGGGAGGCTGAGGCAGGAGAATCACTTGAACCCGGGAGGCAGAGGTTTTAGTGAGCCAAGATCGCGCCATTGCACTCCAGCCTGGGCAACAAGAGAGAAACTCTGTCTCAAAAAAAACAACAAGTAGACAGAGAGGGAAGGAGAAGGAGAGAACAAAGCGGAAGAAAAACTAGTGAAGAGCAGGGAAAGGAATCTGGGTTTTTTTTGTTTTGGTTTGGTTTTTGGTTTTTGGTTTTTTGTTTTTTTTTTTTGAGACAGAGTCTCACTCTGTCACCCAGTCTGGAGTGCAGTGGCACGATCTCAGCTCACTATAGCCTCCGTCTCCCAGGTTCAAGCGATTCTCCCGCCTCAGCCTCCCAAGTAGCTCAGATTACAGGCGCCCACCATGCCAGGCTAATTTTTGAATTTTTAGTAGAGACGGGGTCTCACCAAGTTGGCCAGGCTGGTCTTGAACTCCTGACCTCAAATGATCCACCCGCCTCGGCCTCCCAAAGTGCTGGGACTACAGGCATGAGCCACCGCGCCCGGCCACGAGTCTGGTTTTAAACCCGTGGAGCTAAAGGTTTCTGGCAAGCAGGGAAAGGACACGACTCATTGACTGAGAAGCAGGAGGCGTCCAACACAAAGGCCTCTTGGGAACCCGCTGGGGTTTGGCGGGCGTCACCTTTCTGCATCTTGGGAGGAGAGCTGGTGGGAGGAGCTTTTCTGCAGGTGTCTCTTTCTAGCCTCCGGCAGGGGGCGGCAACAGAAGACGGTTCAGAAGAAAGAATGTGGCCAAGTATGTGTATTTCAAGCCAAAGGATTCTAGAAACTTCTCTCACAGGTACGGAATCCAACCACAGTGCCCACTGTGGTGAAGCCACTGCGCTGGTCCGAGAAGAAAGTGACAAACAAAATGACATGGAGCCCAATTCATCCTGAGAGCAGAACCTCGGAGCCATGTGGTTAAGATGGAAATTCCACTTTTAGTCCAAGCAAATCTTCTGATGTATCAAGTTTGAGGGTGAGGTTTCATTAAAGGAATTTAAAATAAAAAAGTGAGATCACAGCAAATTTTTTAAAATGATTGTTTCAGTGAAGGGAAAAAAGGTCTTTATCCTTATTCAGGGCGTAATTCCTGATCCTGGTCCCCGGAGACAACACCCACCCTTGGGCGAATCATTCCTGGGGACGGAGGAATGAGGGAGGCGTCTCTTTATTTCCGGGGGCGGAGGAGTGAGGGAGGCGTCTCTTTATTTCCTTGTATATAAAATACAAGAACTAAATACCTTGGATTAACAACCAGGGCTGGGGTTTGTGATAAGGCTGTGATTAGGACCACATAAAAGGAGAAAACGTCTTAATAAGAACTTCTTTGTGGCCTGTTAGAGCCTTTCTTAGGAAACTAATAAGTTACACTTTTCCTGGAGAGAAAATCTTGGAAATGACCCATTTCCCCAACAGGACATCATTTCCGGTCATTCACATGTGGTCAAGTTAAAAAAGATCGTTTGAACCTAGCTCAGCCAGGCCAGGGAGAAAATTAAAAATAAGTGTTTATTTTTCTGATTAAAGCCAAACAATGAGACTCAAAATAGGCCACACAAAACCCACAGAATCTTCCAAGTTCGCCTGAGCTAATGCATCCAAGGACGTCCACTCACAGGGGAAGAAGCAGAGGGGCTGGCCTTCTCCTAAGGGGGCAGGGCTGGAGATCTGTCAAATTCCTTATCCATATCTAGGAGCAGAGCTTCCTTTTGGCCAAAAGAGTAAGCTGACTGCGAAGGACAGATACTTCCAAGCAGACACTAAGTAATGCAGTTGGTTTGATAACAGGACAGATGAAAATGGAAGGCCTCCTCCGAAAATCCCACAGCCTGGGCCAGGGCTCCAAGGGGCTGACTGGTTCCTGTGGTTCAAATCTCTGCAAACGTCTCCTTCCCTCCTGCCCCATCTACGGCAGGTAGCTGAGCCGTGGCCCAGGCTCTGGGAGTGCACACTCTCAACAAGCAGATATGAACAGACACGTCCAGAAAGTAGATAGGTGGACAGCCAGTAAGAATATGCAAAGGTGTCATCAAGGAAATGCAAATTAAAATGATTTCACACTGACTAGAATAGCAAAAGTAAAACACACCCACAGTATCAAACCCGGGTGAGGACGTGGAGCAAGTGCGAGTCTCACACTCCGCTGCCGGGGACATAAATGGTGCAAACACTTTGTTGTTGTTTGAGACAGGATCTCACTGTTACCCAGGCTGGAGTGCAGTGGTGCGATCTCAGCTCGCCGCAGCACCCCAGACTCAAGTGATCCTCCAGCTTCCCGGGTAGCTGGGATTAGAAACGCGTACCACCACACTCGAAAATTTTCCATTGAGACGGGGTTTCGCCATGTTGCTCAGGCTAGTCTCAAACTCCCGGGCTCAAGAAATCTGCCTGCCTTGGCCTCCCAAAGTGCTGGGATTACAGGCGTGAGCCGCCATGCCTGGTCAGTACAACCACTTTGAAGAACCGTTTGGTCCATCTTATGAAGGTAAATGTTCATTTACCTGATAATCGACTCAGAATTCTACCGCTCAGGATTCCTACTCATCAGTATTTACCCAAGATAATTTTTTTAAGTCCATAAAAATGTTTATAACAGCCTTCCCCACCCCAAACTGACAACAACTCACATACATCCATCATTGGAAGAATGGATACACTGTGACAAGATGCTCGTCCAATGGGACACTTCTCAGCAATAAGAAGGAACAAACTGATGTATACAAAAACAAGGATAAACCTCACAATCATGCTGAGCAAATGAAGCCCGACACAAAATAACACTGACTGTACGATTCCATTTCCATGACGGTCTACAGGCAAAACTAAATTACAGTGACAGAAAACCAAAGCGACGGATGGGAGGGGGAGTCACCAGAGAGGCTCAGCAGGGGACTGTGCAGGGAGATGGAAATGTTCTTGGTCTTGTTTGGATAATTGTTCATATCGGTATAACAGCTGTTCAAACACACTGAGCTGGGTCCTTAAGAACCATGAATTTTATTGTGTTAAATTAAACCTAAAAAAAGAACTCATACCAACAAGAAGGAGAAAAAAATAATTTGTCTTCATCTCATCTAGAGCCAGGTAACTGAGAATTCCAGCGTGGGCACAGGGTGCTGCCTCCTGAGCACGGCCACCTTCCCACAAGTGACCACCTCCCCTCCCTCCCTCCCTGCCTTTCCCTGCCATGGTTCCCTGTCTCCATGAATGGAACCAACTACCCTCCACCCAGTGTCCCCAAACCAGAAACCTGGCAGTCCTTCCCCATGCTTCTCTCTTCCTCATTTCTGCTCAGTCACTTCCTAGACAGCTCCTGAATGAGGCGGAGCCCTCCCCCGTCTCTGCCCCAACTGCCTCAATTGCAGGGGTTTCTTTTGTTTGTTTTGTTTTGTTTTGTTTTGAGATGGAGTCTCGCTCTGTCACCCAGGCTGGAGTGCAGTGGCGCAATCTCGGCTCACTGCAAGCTCCGCCTCCCGGGTTCACGCCATTCTCCTGCCTCAGCCTCCCATGTAACTGGGACTTCAGGCGCCCACCACCATGCCCGGCTAATTTTTTGTATTTTTAGTAGAGACAGGGTTTCACCGTGTTAGCCAGGATGGTCTCGATCTCCTGACCTCGTGATCTGCCTGCCTTGGCCTCCCAAAGTGCTGGGATTATAGGCGTTAGCCACCGCACCCGGCCTCTTTGTTTTGTTTTTGAGACGTTGTCTTGCTCTGTCGCCCAGGCTGGAGTGCAGTGGCGCGATCTTGGCTTGCTGCAACCTCTGTCTCCCGGGTTCAAGCGATTCTCTTGCCTCAGCTTCCCTAGTAGCTGGAATTACAGGCGCCCGCCACCACGCCCAGCTAATTTTAGTAGACACAGGGTTTCACCATGTTGGCCAGGCTGGTCTGGAACTCCTGACCTCAGGTGATCTGTTCATCTTGGCCTCCTAAAGCATTGGGATTACAGGCGTGAGCCCCCGTCTCCACTAAAAGATAAAAATAAAACTTGGCTGTGTGTAGTGGCGTGCACCTCGAGTCCTAGCTACTTGGGGAAGGCTACACCTGGCCAACTTCCTATTTTTAAATGGAAAGAAAAAAACACACACCAGGGCCTTGTTTCCTATCTCTCCTGCCCATTCCTTCTCTCTCCACAACTCAGACAGCGACGGTGTCAATCAGGCCAGTAAGGGAAAGGCTGGGGGAAGACGATGCTGACTGTCTCTTACTGAATCTGTTTCTGAGACATGGAAACACCCTGTTCACAGAGGCCTCTCTTCCTCCCACCCCTGCCCCCCGCCCAGAACTCCCAGCAGAAGCTGCTCACTGGCTGTTGTCAAAGTAGTCTTTGTTCTTGGAGTTGAACCAGCACAGGCCTCAAATTTCCATCCACAGCTCCAAACCCCGCCTACATCACCTCCATGACCTCAGGCTAAGGAAAGAAAGAAGCTGGCCAAAAACATGCCAGGCTAAGAAGCCAAAGCTCCTCCCAAGAGAGATGACTCTGGAGGGGACCCTCTGGTCTCCTCTCCATGAAGCCAGGTCGATGCTGGAAGGGCAGAAATGCCCAGAAAGAAAAGCACTGAGGAAGGCTCACAGGGCAAGGACTTCAGTGGTCACGGTCCCATCATATACAGAAGCCACGGGGCAGGACTTCAGGGGTCATGGTGCCACATTTTGTACAGAAGTGGGAGGCAGCAAAGCCGCAAGATCTAAAGACAGAGTTGCAGGCCCAGGTGCGGTGCTTACGCCTGTAATCCCAATCAGCGTGGGAGGCCCAGGCAGGCGGATGACCTGAGGTCAGGAGTTTAAGGCCAGCCTGAGCAACATATGCAGCCCCCATCTCTACTAAAAGATAACAATAAAACATTGCTGGGCCGGGCGCGGTGGCTCACGCCTGTCATCCCAGCACTTTGGGAGGCCAAGACGGGCGGATCACGAGGTCAGGAGATCGAGACCATCCTGGCTAACATGGTGAAACCCTGTCTCTACTAAAAAAAATACAAAAAGTTAGCCGGGCGTGGTGGTGGGCGCCTGTGGTCCCAGCTACTTGAGAGGCTGAGGCAGGAGAATGGCATGAACCTGGGAGGCGGAGCTTGCAGTGAGCTGAGATTGCACCACTGCACTCCAGCCTGGGGGACTGAGCAAGACTCTGACTCAAAAAATAAATAAATAAATAAATAAATAATAAAACGAAGCTGTGTGTAGTGGCGTGCACCTAGAGTCCTAGCTACTTGGGGGGCTGAGGTGGGAGGATCCCTTGAACCCAGAAGTTTGAGGTGACAGTGAGCTATGACTGCACCACTGCACTCCAGCCTGGGTGACAGGGCGAGACCCTGTCTCTAAAAAATAATAATCATGTAAAAAAAACAGAGAGATTCGGGGAACTGTGGATGATGACTGCAGGGCATGGTCAAAAAGAAGCAGAGAAAACTCGCCAAAGCGAGTCAGGGAAGTGTGTCCGGCACTGTCCAGGGGAAGGACAACACTCTGGACACAAAGATTTGATGGCCACAGGAAAAGGGCCGTTGGGCTGGGGACAGGCTGGGACGGATCCTCCTCCTCCATTCTCTCCCCATCCACCCGACTTTCTAGAACACCTTCTGGACCCTGGTTTGCTTCTCCAGCCACCTAGCAGGGAAGTGGAGTCTTGAATCCAAACGTTCAGATACTAGAAAAGGGATGGACGGTCCCTCGGGAATTAATAAGCTAAACGGAGCTGAAGACGGATCCCAAGTGTCTCAACAGCTCTGGATGTCCCGATAAAACATGTTTCTAGAATGTGAACAGTTTTGAAACATCTGTATTCCAATCACCAATCCAGAATCTTGGGAGCTAAAGAAAGTGTGGGCTTTCCCCCAAAACAAACACTCAGCGGAGGACACAGGAGAATGACCAAGGTGTAAATGAAAGAAGAATCTGGCCTGGGGCATCCTATGGCGAGCGCCATCCCCTTTAGGGGTAAGAGGGACATCTAAGACCAAGCGGAGCTGAGTCAGGCCTCCTGGGTGGGATGATACAGTATGAAAGAGAGGTCCAGGAAAGGGTCTCATTCAGGCTGACATGTCCCATCATGATCAGTCAAGTTTAGGACAGAGACTAATAAGACTCAACATATGCGGCCGGTCGCAGTGGCTCACGCCTGTAATCCCAGCATTTTGGGAGGCCGAGACGGGCGGATCACGAGGTCAGAGGTTGAGACCAGCCTGGCCAAGAGACCAGTCTGGCCAACATGGTGACACCTCGTCTCTACTAAAAATACAAAAATTAGCTGGGCGTGGTGCAGGCGCCCGTCATCCCAGCTACTTGGGAGGCTGAGGCAGGAGAATCACTTGAACCCGGGAGGTGGAGGTTGCAGTGAGCGGAGATCGCACCACTACACTCCAGCCTGGGCAACAAGAGCGAGACTCAATCTCAAAAAAAAGAAAAGAAAAGGAAAAAAAAAAGAGTTCAGGATTTCATAGTCCGTCTCCTATGTCTAGTCTTTCATTTCTCATAATCGTTTCTTAGCCAGGAATCATCTCTGGAAGTAAATGGCTTCCTTTTCTTTGCGCACACATGCCCCTCTCTGAAGAGAGGCGCCATGCCCACCTGGGGGCTGCGGTACTCGCTTTTTTTTTTTTTTTTTTTTTTTTTTTTGAGACAGAGTCGCTCTGTCCCCCAGGCTGGAGTGCAGTGGCGCAATCTCAGCTCACTGCAAGCTCTGCCTCCCGGGTTCACGCCATTCTCCTGTCTCAGCCTCCCGAGTAGCTGGGACTACAGGCGCCCGCCACCACGCCCGGCTAATTTTTTTTTTTTGTATTTTTTTAGTAGAGACGGGGTTTCACCGTGTCAGCCAGGATGGTCTCGATCTCCTGACCTCGTGATCCGCCCGCCTCGGCCTCCCAAAGTGCTGGGATTATAGGCGTGAGCCACCGCGCCCAGCTGTGGTACTCACTTTTAATGCTCCTTAGAAAATTCTAACCAAAGGCTCCAAACGCAGCTCAAAACCCTGGCATGGAACCACACAAAAGGCACAAAGAGGCTGGGGCCAGGTGGAGCCCATCAGAAATTGAAGGCTCTGTGTCAGGAGCCACCCCATTCTGACCACGGGTCCGGGTTTCTCCACGGAAGCAGCTCCCAGGTCCCCAGTGTTAGGCAGAGTGGATTTCAGTCAGGAAAACTACGCAAGGCCATGTTCTTAGAATCTCTCCAACATTATTCTTGGCTCTGCTGACATTGCTTTGGCTTTAAAAAATCAATAAATTAAGCAAGCAGAAGGTTCTCTAACATCCAAGCTGGACTAAAGGGTTTTGCTCTTACCGAGCCAGAGGGAATATTTATTCCAAGAGACGTAAGATAGATTCTGCTGGACACCTGCCACTTGCTCATGATTCTTCCCTGGGAGGCTGGCAGCGCACGGAGAGGCTTCGCTCCACGGGAACCAACACCGTTGGCCGGCGCGGTGGCTCACGCCAGGAATCCCAGCACTTTGGAAGGCCAATGTGGGTGGATCACCTGAGGTCAGGAGTTCGAGATCAGCCTGGCCAATGTGGTGAAACCCCATCTCTACTAAAAATACAAAAAATTAGCCGGGCGTGGTGGCACACAGCTGTAGTCCCAGCTACTCAGGAGACTGAGGCAGGAGAATCACTTCAACTCGGGAGGTGGAGCTTGCAGTGAGCTGAGATCGTGCCACTGCACTCCAACCTGGGCGACAGAGTGAGACTCTGTCTCAAAAAAAAAAAAAAAATAGAAATAATACCTCTTACTACACTGGATGGTTTGAATTCCAACCTAAAGCAAAAAGAGGAAGGCTTTGATCTCATTCTATTGTTTATCCTAACATTTTTGCCTGACAGTCTGGATAAAACAAACTTTTATTTTGTTATTTATTTATTTTTTTTCAGATCCAGGCTGGAGTGCAGTGGAGTGATCATGGCTACGGCCTTAACCTCCTGGGCTCAAGCAATCCTGCCACCTCTGCCTCCCAAGTAGCTGGGACTACAAGGCGTGAACCACCACACTTGGCTAATTTTTGTATTTTTTTTTTTCTGTAGAGATGGGGGTCTCACCATGTTGCCCAGGCTGGTCTCGAACTCCTGGCCTCAAGCAATTCACCCGCCTCAACCTTCCAAAGTGCTGGGATTACAGGCGTGAGCCACCGCGCCTGGCCTCAGTCTTTTATCTGGTGGGAGCTCCATAAATCCATGCTAGCTGACCGGCCAGTCCTCTCCCAGGCAAGTGGCCACAGCGACGAAGGTTTGGCGGAGGTGCAGGGGGAGGTGTGGACAACGTACAGTCACAAGGCAGCGTCCGATTCAGTGAGGGTGACTGGGGAAGCTGCCGTTCATGAGCTCTTGTCACCAACTTGGGAAGCTGCCGTTCATATGCTCGTCACCAAAGTCAAGAATACCTTCTTCTGCACCACATTCTCGGAGATTTTCCAAATCCCGGGCATTTTCAGGCCTTCACTCCCTCCACTAATACCCCACAGCTTACTCCTCCCAAGTGAAGAGGCCGAGAAAAGAATCCATTTTATTTGTCAGAACCAGCCATAAGGTAAACAAATACAAAGAAAGTGTGTGCTCGCCAATTAAACGGGAATGCAGGCTTCTGGCGGAGACATGACCCCATTTTTCCATTCGCTCCATGTCAGTGAACCACCGTCACAGAGCTGGCCCCTATGGCTTGAGGGGGAAAAAAGAGAAAGGCTTTCTACGTGTTTCTACATGCCTTTTCCACCTCCTTTTTCCTAAGAAAAAGGCAGAATTCCATTTGACCCAATTCCCATTCGATGGAAAAGAAGAACAGAGAGGCAAGGACGTGGGCTTCAGCGTCACGGAGGCCTGAGTTTAAACCCTTGGATCTATGACAACCCACTAGCCGTGAGGTTCAAAGCAAGTCCACCAGACCTCTCCAAGCCTCAGCTCCCTCGTGTAAAACAGAGAGGTCTGTAACTGCCACACGGGTCACGGTTGAGAAGCGTGCCAGGTACAGCACATGCTCAGGAGTGTTCCTGTCTCCTCAACTTGGGTTCATACGACACGGATGGGGCGCAGGTACCGTACGGGGTACAGAGAGGGACAGAAAGCAGGGTTTAAGGGACTTCTCATGCAATAAAAAGGAAAATCTGTATCTTACAGCAGGACTAAGTTCCACAAGATTAGTTTTAATTTATAATCTTTACTTCTTTGAGACAGGGCCTCGCTCTGTTCCTCAGGCTGGAGTGCAGGGGTGCAAGCACAGCTCACTGCAACCTCGACCTCCTGGGCTCAAGCGATCCTCCCACCTCAGCCTCCTGAGTAGCAGGGACCACAGGCATGCATCACCACTCCTGGCTAATTTTTAAAATCATTCTGTAGAGATGGGGTCTCGCTGTGTTGCCCAGTCTGGCAAAGAAATCCTGGGCTTAAAGGATCTGGCCACCTTGGCCCCCCAAAGTCCTGGGATGACAGGCATGAGCCATCACACCTGGTCTCAGCAAGGTTTTTTGACTTCAAGAAAACGAGGGTGCTCTTAGGTCTTCAGACAATTGCTATTATCAATCATAGCAAAAAATAAAAAATAAATACAGCTGGGATGAGAGAGGACATTCTAGATGCATCAGAACTTACATAAAGATTGACAGAGGCCAGGTGTGGTGGCTCGCACCTGTAATCCCAGCACTTTGGGAGGCCAGGGCAGGTGGATCACCTGAGGTCAGGAGTTCGAGACCAGCCTGACCAACATGGAGAAACCCCGTCTCTACTAAAAATACAAAAATTAGCTGGACATGGTGGTGGGCACCTGTAATCCCAGCTACCCAGGAGGCTGAGGCAGGAGAATCACTTGAACCCAGGAGGTGGAGGTTGCTGTGAGCTGAGATCGCACCACTGCACTCCAGCCTGGGGGCGACAAGTGCAAAACAAAACTCCATCTCAAAAAAAAAAAAAAAAAAAAGATTGACGGAGCCACTTGAAACATCTGACTCAGAAGAAACAAGAACCAGAACGCTGGGGGTTCTAAGCCTTACAGCACAAAGAGAAAGACACTAATGTTTGTGGTTAACCGATGGATTGTGGTCAGGAAACAGGTTCAAATCTCATCTCCACCACCTGCCAGCTATGTGGCACTTACCTTCTCAGGAGGATTAAGTGGGAAGACAGAGCAGAAAGCCCAGCGCCTGCACGTGCCACACTTGCCTTCTCAGGAGGATTAAGTGAGAAGACAGAGCAGAAAGCCCAGCACCTGCACGTGCCCTGTGCTTCAGTGATGAAGCTACCGTTGTCGAAACATACTGAAAAGCTCTAAGCCCTGCTACCCGCAGTGATCCTGCATCGGAGGCAAAAAGACCACAGGAAGGTAGAAATGAATGAGAAATGCAGAGAGATTGGCCGGATGCGGTGGCTCACGCCTTTCATCCCAGCACTTTGGGAGGCCAAAACAGGTGGATCGCCTGAGGTCAGGAGTTCAAGACCAGCCTGGCCAACAAGGCAAAACCCTGTCTCCACTAAAATACAAAAATTAGCCTGGTGGTGGCGTGTGCCTGTAATCCCAGCTAGGAGAATCGCTTGAACCCGGGAGGCGGAGGTTGCAGTGAGCCGAGATTGCTCCATTGCACTACAGCCTGAGCAACAGAGCGAGACTGTGAAAGAAAAGAAAAGAAGAAAGAAAGAAAAAGAAAGAAAGAAAGAAAGAAAGAAAGAAAGAAAGAAAGAAAGAAAGAAAGAAAGAAAGAAAAAGAAAGAAAGAAAAGAGAGAGAAAAGAAATGCAGACAGATTAATTGTTGGCTGTTGCAGAATGCAAAATGAGGAATGACACTCGGGTTTCAAGTCTAAGGCTGTGGATATTTCGGAGCCTGGTGAAAAGCAAAGCACTGCCACGTTTTCCCTTCGCTCCCCCAACCTGCCGTAGATCACGTACCCCCACTCACAAAGAGCACACGCCCAGTACCCCATCCCTCTCACCAGGATGAAGAAAGACACCCAAAACCCAAGGTCCAAACTTAGGAAGAAACTGAATTCAACACAACAAAAGTCAACACCTCATGTGTAAAGGATCTTAATTAAACAGTATCAAGCATGCCGGCGTGAACTCAGTGTCTGGACCTACTCGTTATGAAATAAACTTAAGAATAAATCCCATCTAAGAACAGAAAAAAACCAGCAACTCTCATGCACATCAAATGCTGTTCTCGATGATCCTTTTCCCTCTGAACATCACAAAGCACCAGCAGGTGGGAGATAATTAAAGTTTGAATAAAATTTGTTTTATATGCCTCAGTTGGAACACTTTTGTTCCGCAAAGCTCTTCCCGCTCCAGCCCAAAGATGCACCCACAAAGAAAGAAATTTTTCTTTTTGTTTTTTGAGACGGACTCTCACTCTGTCGCCCAGGCTGGAGTGCAGTGACACAATCTCGGTTCACTGCAAGCTCCACCTCCCGGGTTCACGCCATTCTCCTGCCTCAGCCTCCCCAGTAGCTAGGACTTACAGACACCCACCAGCACGCCCGGCTAATTTTTTGTATTTTTTTTTTTAGTAGAGATGGGGTTTTCACCTTGTTAGCCAGGATGGTCTCGATCTCCTGACCTCGTGATCCGCCCACCTCGGCCGCCCAAAGTGCTGGGATTACAGGCATGAGCCACCGCATCTAGCCAAGAGTTTTTTCAAAATAATATTTTTCTGGATTTTTCTGGTTACATCTGGGGTTTTATGACTTCTGACAGATAAGGGTGGAGGAAGTAATTTACGAAAAGAAACATCTCTCTTGATCCATATTTACATTCCATAAGGGAGTGAGTTTGGCTTTTGGATTCTCCTCCCAGGCCTATCAGGGGGATAGAATTCTTGCTCCTATTTGATGAGATTTATGGGGCAATGAGGTCTGTGAGGCTGATGCTACACCACCTGCTTCACGAATACGGCCCCTCCATTTGCAAAGTGCTGACTTGGAACATTTGTATTTTTCCCTTACAAATCAATCAATCTATCTATCGGTCTGTCTGTCTGTCTGTCTATCTATCTATCTATCCGTCTGTCCACCCATCCGTCTGTCCGTCCATCCGTCCGTCCATCCGTCCATCTCACTCTGTTGCCCAGGCTGTCACACAGTGGCACGATCACAGCTCACTGCAGCCTTGACATCCTGAGCTCAGGCGATCCTCCTCAGCCTCCCGAATGGCTGGGACCACAGCTGTGTGCCACCATGCCCAGCTAATTTTTTGTAGAAATGAGGTCTCATCATATTGCTGAGGCTGGTCTCGAATTCCTGAGCTCAAGCGATCCTCCCACCTTGGCCTCCCAAAGTGCTAGGATTACAGGCAGTGAGCCACTGCACCCGGCCTAAATCTCTCATGTTTATAAGAGGTCATCTGATGGCTTTCCATCCCATTCAAACACATTTAGCATCCATATCTGCCTTTAATAAAAGGTCATAATACAGCCCTGGCATCACAAAAGCTAACCAGAGAACACTGAGGATATCAGCTCATGAAGATACTCTGTCTACAATGAGACTAGGACAACTGTCTTCCTTTTCAGAAAAGGAAACTGAGGCAGTGAGAGGCTATGATGCTTCAACACGGGGGACCTCAACCCAAGACTTGTGCTTTTAGTTCCATCACAGATACATCAGAGACTGTACTTAGTTGGGGAGTAACCTAAGCTAACCTCACCATGCACAGCCCAACAGGGAACCTAAGCTAACCCCACCATGCACAGCCCATCAGGGAACCTAAGCTAACCCCACCATGCAGAACCCAACAGGGAACCTAAACTAACCCCACCATGCACAACCCAACAAGGAACTAAGGTAACCCCACCATGTACAGCCCAACAGGGAACCTAAACTAACCCCACCATGTACAACCCAACAGGGAACCTAAACTAACCCCACCATGCACAACCCAACAGGGAACCTAAACTAACCCCACCATGCACAACCCAACAAGGAACTAAGCTAACCCCACCATGCACAACGCAACAGGGAACCTAAACTAACCCCACCATGCACAACCCAACAGGGAACCTAAACTAACCCCACCATGCACAACCCAACAGGGAACCTAAACTAACCCCACCATGCACAACCCAACAGGGAACCTAAGCTAACCCCACCATGCACAACCCAACAGGGAACTAAGCTAACCCCACCATGTACAGCCCAACAGGGAACTAAGCTAACCCCACCATGCACAGCCCAACAGGGAACCTAAGCTAACCCCACCATGCACAACCCAACAGGGAACTAAGCTAACCCCACCATGCACAGCCCAACAATTAGAACTTAGGGCATTTTAATTGGACTCAGACCTCATGTTCTGAATTTAAGACGGTGACAGTTACAGGAATGTGTGTAGGGATTATGGCTGGAATGCTGCCTCTCACTTACAGCTGACCCTCTTCCCAGGACTCTCCAAATCCACCTGGTGCCTCTCTTCTGCCCCCGCACAGCCAGGCCACCCCTCATCCAAACACCAGGTTTCCAGCACTGGAGCCTCACAAGCTCATCCCCACCCACAAAACACTCACAAACGCACCTGGCAAGTCAGTGTCTGCATAGCAGGTCTCGCAGTCTCAGCACTGCTGACACTTTGCTGGGAAGGGGCGGGGCGGGGTGGGGTGTGTGGGGGGGTGCTGTTCCGCACATTGTAGAATGTTCATCGCTGTCCCAGGAAATGCCAGTAATGCCCGCTTAGTGACAATCGAAAATGGTTCCAGAAGCCCAGGAGACTTTGAGACCAGTGAAACAATTCTGTATGATCCCAACCTGGTGGATGCATGTCATTCATTATGCATTCGTCAGAACCAACAGTGTCCAACACAAACAATAAACCCTAAGGTAAGCTGTGAACTTCAGATAGTAACAATGTACCCATACCAGCCCCTCAGTTGTAACAAATGTAGCGCACCAATGCAAGATGGTAATGACAGCAGGAATACCTGGAGGGCAAGGGAGGGGTACCTGTGAACTCTGTACTTTCTGCTCAGTTTTTCTGAAAACCTAAAACTGTTCTATGAAACAAAGTCTATCAATTAAAAATTTAAAGTCTTCAGACGTTTGCCTATGTCCCTAAAGGGCAAAGCTGTTCCACTTGGCAGATGCGGATGGGAGAACACGCCTACGCAGGCCAAGTCTCCAGCAGGGCAATGCTCTCGTTACTTCCACGAGTCAATCAGTGCAGTTGTATCAGGCCACGTTCCTGGACAGAGACTGGAAAAGGTGAGCTTTCTGAGTGCGCATGGGTTGTGGACACTCCTCTGGGGGATAATCTTTTTAGGGGAGAAAGCATGGAGCCCAGTCTCAGGAAACCCTAGGCAGAGGCTGGAGACAGAGGCCTAATCCTCCGGTCCCAGCTTAAAAGACAGCACCTTGGTTGCTATATTCACTCTGGTGAGAATGCCCTCCTTGGATTTCCCTTTTTCAAAAATTATCTCCATCGCTCAGTAGCGTGACATAAGAAATGGAAAGAAGCCTTGGCCTTCAAAAAAGGCCAGAGGAAGCATCTCAACGCCTGGAAGCCAGAGGAAGCATCTCAACCTCCGGAAGCCAGAGGAAGCATCTCAACTCCCTGGAAGCCAGAGGAAGCATCTCAATGCCCTGGAAGCCAGAGGAAGCATCTCAACCCCTGGAAGCCAGAGGAAGCATCTCAACTCCCTGGAAGCCAGAGGAAGCATCTCAATGCCCTGGAAGCCAGAGGAAGCATCTCAACCCCTGGAAGCCAGAGGAAGCATCTCAACTCCCTGGAAGCCAGAGGAAGCATCTCAACTCCCTGGAAGCCAGAGGAAGCATCTCAACTCCCTGGAAGCCAGAGGAAGCATCTCAACTCCCTGGAAGCCAGAGGAAGCATCTCAACCCCCGGAAGCCAGAGGAAGCATCTCAACTCCCTGGAAGCCAGAGGAAGCAACTCAACTCCCTGGAAGCCAGAGGAAGCATCTCAACCCCCGGAAGCCAGAGGAAGCATCTCAACTCCCTGGAAGCCAGAGGAAGCATCTCAACTCCCTGGAAGCCAGAGGAAGCATCTCAACTCCCTGGAAGCCAGAGGAAGCATCTCAACTCCCTGGAAGCCAGAGGAAGCATCTCAACTCCCTGGAAGCCAGAGGAAGCATCTCAAACGCCCTGGAAGCCAGAGGAAGCATCTCAAACGCCCTGGAAGCCAGAGGAAGCATCTCAAACGCCCTGGAAGCCAGAGGAAGCATCTCAAACGCCCTGGAAGCCAGAGGAAGCATCTCAAACGCCCTGGAAGCCAGAGGAAGCATCTCAAACGCCCTGGAAGCCAGAGGAAGCATCTCAAACGCCCTGGAAGCCAGAGGAAGCATCTCAAACGCCCTGGAAGCCAGAGGAAGCATCTCAAACGCCCTGGAAGCCAGAGGAAGCATCTCAAACGCCCTGGAAGCCAGAGGAAGCATCTCAAACGCCCTGGAAGCCAGAGGAAGCATCTCAAACGCCCTGGAAGCCAGAGGAAGCATCTCAAACGCCCTGGAAGCCAGAGGAAGCATCTCAAACGCCCTGGAAGCCAGAGGAAGCATCTCAAACGCCCTGGAAGCCAGAGGAAGCATCTCAAACGCCCTGGAAGCCAGAGGAAGCATCTCAAACGCCCTGGAAGCCAGAGGAAGCATCTCAGCACCCTGGAAGCCAGAGGAAGCATCTCAATGCCCAGAACCTGGGGGTCCTGCCGGGGGCAGCCTCTGCAGCTCTGCCACTGGTGTCCGCAGGGACGGGCGGAGACATGACGGAGGCGCCCCAAGAAGACGGTCCCCAGTTTTGCTAAACTGGCTGCTAAAATACCCCCTTCCATCTGAAAACATAATTGAGATGTGACTGCCTCAACTTTAAATCCACTTGGCTTCAGGCATTTGCATGGCTGAAACGTGGGCACACCCAGGTCCCCGCTGGCCGCCTTCATGATTCCCTGAAATCCTGGCTCTCCCTGATTGCCTTTCTCTCTCATCCTTTCCTTTCACCCTTTCCTTTTTTTTTTTTTTTTTTTTTTTTTTTTTTTTTTTTTTTTGAGACTAAATCTCACTCCGTCGCCCAGGCTGGAGTGCAGTGGCACCATCTCGGCTCACTGCAACCTCCGCCTCCTGGGTTCAAGTGATTCTCCTGCCTCAGCCTCCCGAGTAGCTGGGATTACAGGCACCCACCACCACGCCCAGCTAATTTTTGTATTTTTAGTAGAGACGGGGCTTCACCATGTTGGCCAGGCTAGTCTTGAACTCCTGACCTCAGGTGATCTGCCTGCCCCAGCCTCCCAAAGTGCTGGGATGACAGGCATGAGCCACCGCGCCTGGCCCACCCCTTCCCTTCATAGTTCATCTTCTCTAATGGAGAGAGGAAGAAAAGAGGGTACCCAAAGAAGCAAAAAAATGAGAGAAAATGAGAGATGATCAAACATAAACCACCATGGGGACTGCTGCCATGACACAGCTGGGTATGGGGAGAAACAGAATTCAGCAACCTTCTAAAGCTGCTACAATAATACTTTCTGGTTTAAAAAGACCCAATGTGGCCGGGCGCAGTGGCTCACGCCTCTAATCCCAGCACTTTGGGAGGTCGAGGTGGGCGGATCACAGGGTCAGGAGATCAAGACCATCCTGGCTAACACGGTGAAACCCCGTCTCTACTTAAAATACAAAAAAAAAAAATTAGCCAGGCGTGGTGGTGGGCACCTGTAGTCCCAGCTACTCGGGAGGCTGAGGCAGGGGAATGGCGTGAACCTGAGAGGCGGAGCTTGCAGTGAGCCGAGATCGCACCACTGCACTCCAGCCTGGGTTTTGTTTGTCTCAAAAACAAACAAACAAACAAAAAAACTAATTTTTCCCAACATCATTAATTCTTCTCAACAATGTAGTATCTTCCAAGGTGAATCTTTTAGTAAAATGGGCTTTACAAACTGTTGATGGGCTGGGGGCAGTGGCTCACACCTGTAATCCCAATGCTTTGGGAGGCTGAGGTGGGGAGGATTGTTTGAGGCCAAGAGTTCAAGACCAGCCTGGGCAACAGAGCAAGACTATCTCTACAAAAAAATTAAATAGGCTGGGCATGGTGGCTTATGCCTGTAATCCCAGTACTTTGGGAGGCTGAGGCAGGCGGATCACCTGAGGTCGGGAGTTCGAGACCAGCCTGACAACATGGAGAAACCCTGTCCCTACTAAAAATACAAAAAATTAGCCGGGCGTGGTGGCGCATGCCTGTAATCCCAGCTACTCGGGAGGCTGAGGCAGGAGAATCACTTGAACCCAGGAGGCAGAGGTTGCAGTGAGCCGAGATCGAGCCATTGCACTCCAGCCTGGGCAACAAAAGCAAAACTCCATCTCAAAAAAAAAAAAAAAATTAAGTAAGCAAGGCATGGTGGCGTGTGCCTGCAGTCCTAACTACTCGGGAGGCTGAGGTGGATTATTTGAGCACAGGAGTTTGAGATTACAGTGAGCTGTGATCGTGCCACGGCACTCCAGCCTGGGCAACACAGCAGACCCTGTGTCTAAAACACAAGAATAAAAAACAAGGAAGTAGAACTATTCCCGTACCTCTCCCTGTTGCCTCGCACACCGTATAAACTTACCAGACGTTAACTATCGTCTTCGTGTTTCAACTTCGCTTTAAAGTAAAATATAAACATTTATTAAACTATCCAGTTCTCCCACTTCTCATCTTAGTCACCCCGGCCCAAGGAAGTTTTTGTGGAATTGACAGATGACATCTGTTTTTACAGAGAGTTGTTTCTGGTAATAGAACCTTCTCCTCGACTTCAAAGCTTCCCTAAATTCTCTACAATAGACACTTGAACCTCTGCAGATCTCGAAGATGCTAAAATGGACCACGCGGTCCTGACCACCCGCCCCCGGCCCCTCAACAAACTCACGCTATTTCTCAGTTCCTGCATATCACACACAATATTCTTCTTTTTTTCCCAAGCCAGTCCCCTCCTAGGCCTGTTGCAGTGACGCCTCTCCTAGGAAAGTCCCCGCGGCAGATACACGGACTCCGTAATGGAAACTCCGGCGTGCCTAACAACAGCGTCACTGTCACACACGCGTGAGCTTTGACAGCCAGGGACTGGTAACCCACGGCCACCGCGCCCAAGAAAATTATTTCCCATGGGAGAAAGAAAACTACGTTCAGCTCCTGGCAGGTCCCAGGCAAGTCCGAGCCAGGCTTGCAGGGAGGCGAATGCTCTGTCCTGGGAAAGGGAGGCAGAGGTTAAGGGCTGTTCCCACCCTCCAGTGACCCAGATGGGAAAGGCAGCTGCGTGGACATCAAAATGACAGCAGAGACGTGTGGCTTTTCCCCAGCGTCACTGAAACAAAGCCAGCATGGGCTGCCCCACACTGTTTACAGGACAATCAATTAGCAAGATGGATCTCATGATTAAGAGAAACTCAATTTCTTCTTGAAAGCACGTTCTAGGGTGGGGTGCATCCTTACCACATCAGTCAGATGTCAAAAGGCAGCACGTAAATTGAATAAGGGAAGGAAAATGCCGGGCGGCCTCATTCACGTCCGGCATGTTCCGCTATTATTGAAAGGAAATTGAGAAATTAGACAGTACTGCCTATTAGCTTCACAATGCCCCGTCCTAGGGCAATCCGCAAAGATTTCCTCAGTGTGCTGTCAACTCTGTGTTAAATGAATTCTCGGTCCAGCATTTGTTTTTCTTTTATTCTTTTTTCGAGATGGAGTCTCACTCTGTCACCCAGGCTGGAGTGCAGTGGCACGATCTCGGCTCACTGCAACCTCGGCCTCCAAGGTTCAAGCAGTTCTCCTGCCTCAGCCTCCCGAGTAGCTGGGACTACAGGTGCCCGCCACCACGCATGGCTACTTTTTCTATTTTTTTCTTAGTAGAGATGGGGTTTCACCGTGTTGGCCAGGCTGGTCTCGAACTCCTCACCTCAGGTGATCCGCCCACCTCGGCCTCCCGAAGTGCTGGGATGACAGGTGTGAACCCCTGCTGCTGGCCAGTTAAGATTATTTTAAGGATAACTTGATATTGTGCACTTCAAAGTTCTCCATGGATTGAGCTGGTCAAGCAATGCTTAATTTTCAAGTAACTACCCACCTACTGCTGTGCCTTTCTTCCCCACAGCCATTCATCTTTGTTCCTGTCTTCATGGGGCTCAGGGTTTCTCAACCTCAGCACTTGGCGGCTGGATGGTTTCTCCCTGGTCGAGGCTGGTCTGTGCATTCCAGGATGTCCAGCAGCACTCCTGGTCTTTACCATCCCCCCAAGACTGGACAAACAACCCTGGGGGAAAAACTGCCCCAGTTGAGAACCACTTTCCTAGTTCCATGCACTCTGCTCTCCTGGGACACACCCCTCTTCAGCTCCCCTGCCTGGAACACCTTTGATCCCATCTTTACCTACTAATTCCCACTCTGCCATCTGGAGCTCGTCCGGACGCCACCTCCTCTGAGAAACTACTCTGAGGCCAGGTGTAATGTCTCACCCCTGTAATCCCAGCACCCTGCCTGGAACAGCTTTGATCTTCTTTACCTACTAACTCTTACTCTGCCGTCAGGAACTCGTCCGGACGCCATCTCCTCTGAGAAACTACTCTGAGGCCAGGCGCAATGTCTCACACCTGTAATCCCAGCACTTTGGGAGGCTAAGGTGGGAGGACCACTTCAGGCCAGGAGTTCAAGACCAGGCTGGGTAAGATGGAGAAATTTCATCTTTACAAAAAATACAAAAATTAGCCAGGACGGTAGTGCACACCTATAGTTCCAAGCTGAGGTGGGAGGACTGCTTGAAACTGGGAGGTCGAGGCTGCAGTGAGCCATGAGGGCACCACTGCACTCCAGCCTGGGTGACAAAACAGACTGTCTCAAAAAAACAAAAACAAAACAAAAAAACTACTCTGAAAGTCATTTCTTCCTATCCCCTCCCTGCAAAGAAGGAAGGACAGGGCTGGGATTCTGCCTCTGTGCATGCTTTTTTTTTTTTTCTTTTTTTTTGAGACAGAGCCTTGCTCTGTCGCCCAGGCTGGAGTGCAGTGGCACGATCTTGGCTCACTGCAACCTCTGCCTCCCGGGTTCAAGTGATTCTCCTGCCTCAGCCTCCCGAGTAGCTGGGATTACAGGCACCCACCACCATGCACAGCTAATTTTTGTATTTTTAGTAGAGACGCGGTTTCACCATGTTGGTCAGGCTCGTCTTGAACTCCTGACCTCAGGTGATCCACCCGCCTCGGCCTCCCAAAGTGCTGGGATTACAGGCGTGAGCCACCGCACCCCGGCCTGTGCATGCTTTTCTTACAGCACCTTTTATATTAATAGTACTATAACTGTCTCCTTACTTTGCTTAATACTCCATCTATCCATCCATTAATTCAACAAATATTGACGTGCTGGGTACAAAAAATAAGACCCTGAGAGAGACACCTGGATGCCCGCTCTCCTGAGCTCATATTCTCGTGAGGGAGGACGATCAATAAACAACAATAAACAAGAAAATGGCAGGTATTACTGAGAGCTGCAAAGAAGATACAGCTTGCTTCTCTTTCCCGCAAGGAGATTTAGCTCCTTGAGGGCAAAGACTGATTCACTCATGATTATATCGTCAGGAATTAGCGCTGAGCCTTAAAAAACAAAACCACGGATTCCGCACTTTCCTCCTTTCTCTCCTCTCTGTTACGGAGATTTAGGTACAGGGTTTCTTTTCCTGGGAGACAGTAAAAAAAGCTTCCTGCAGGGAGGGTCTTGCCCAGTTGATAAATTTTACAAGCTGGGGGCGGTGGTGCACGCCTGTAGTCCCAGCTACTAGGGAGGATGAGGCAGGAGGATAGCCTGAGCCCAGGAGTTCGAGGCTGCAGTGAGCTATGATCATGTCGTTGCACCCCAGCCTGAGTGACAGAGTGAGACCCTGTCTCTAAATTAATTATTTTCACAAAGGAAATCAAAGGGCTTTTGTTAAAGTAAATGATATCCTCAAGCTATAGAGTTTAACACTAAAACTTTTCTGAGGGCCGGGCGTGGTGGCTCATGCCCGTAATCCCAGCACGTTGGGAGGCCGAGGCAGGCGGATCTCCTGAGGTCAGGAGTTTGAGACCAACCTGACCAACATGGAGAAACCCTGTCTCTACTAAAAATACAAAATTAGCGGGGTGTGGTGGCGCATGCCTGAAATCCCAGCTACTTAGGAGGCTGAGGCAGGAGAATCGCTTGAACCCGGGGGGGCAGAGGTTGTGGTGAGCCAAGATTGCGCCATTGCACTCCAGCCTGGGCAACAAGACCGAAACTCCGTCTCAAAACAAAAAAAGGAAAAAAAAACACAAACTTTCTGAAGATATAGCCAAAAAGCTCATGAAGAGAGACAGCATTTTATAGATGGAGAAATGGAGGCCTGGAAATGGTGAGCTGCCCAAGGCCACAATGCCAGGAACCCAGAGCTGACCATCTGGCTTCAGAGCCCACTCTCTTCCCCACCAGATTCCCACCTCTTGCAGGAACAGAGAGGCACGAGGAAGGTACAAACATCAGGAGGAAATCTCTTTCCTCCCAGGAGGCTGCTGGCAAACCATGGCATCAGGATCCTCCCAGGGTGGGAAGGGAGGGTGGTGAGTTTATTTACAAGCAAAATGAATCTGCCCGTTCAAGGAGAAGAAACATGAATGATACTAGTTTTTCAAATTCTTACCACTGGGACTGGCCCTAAACTTTAGCACTTTATTAGAAAGCCAAAAACCACTCAAAAGCTAACGTCTACAGAGAAGACGGCCAAAAAAAAAGTACCTTTTTTTCTCTTCATGGAAAGTTTTCTAATATTTAAAAGCTCAGGATTATTCTGCAGAGACGTTATAAATGACCCAATCTGCAGGGCTGGAAGCATCTTCTGGGAGGCAGGGGAGTTTTGAGAGAAAAGTGTGGACTTTATGAAAAGATAGATCTGCATTCTTTTTTTTTTTTTTTTTTTTTTTTGGATGGAGTTTAAGCTCTTTTTGCCCAGCCTAGAGTGCAATGGCACGATCTTGGTTCATTGCAACCTCCACCTCCCGGGTTCAAGTGATTCTCGTGCCTCAGCCTCCCGAGTAGCTGGGATTGCAGGCATCCACCACCACGCCTGGCTAATTTTTGTATTTTTAGTAGAGATGGGGTTTCACCATGTTGGCCAGGATGGTCTCGATCTCCTGACCTCACTTGATCTGCCCGCCTCGGCCTCCCAAAGTGATGGGATTACAGGCATGAGCCACGGCGTCCGGCCAGATAGATCTGCATTCTCATTTGTATCCAAAACCCCTCTGAGCCTCAACGTCACCCTCTGCAACATGCAGGGATCTGTGGGGGGAGATGATCTCTACATGAAATGGAATAACAGTATCTGGCACAAAGGCAGACACTTAATCAACGCTAGCTCCTTTCCTCTCCGCAGTTTATTCCGGGGAAGAACTCTGGCCTGGGAAACAGCAGACCTGGTCCAACTCCCGGCTCTGCCAGATCCCAAGTGACTCAAATGCTTCAGCTGCCCTGACCTCTGCTTCCTCGTTACTAAAATGAAAAGCACGGGATCTACCTCCAACAACAGTCATGGGATTCAAGGACACCAGGACACCTCCCCCGTGAAAACCAGGGCAATGAATTCAAACAAAGCACATTAACTAAATCTAAATCTAAATCGATGGCATTTTGTCCCATAAACACTCAGCCTGAAAGTCTCTCCTTCAGCTTGCTGTTTGTTTTTTTGTTTTGTTCTGTTTTTTGGAGATGGGATATCGCTCTGTCGCCCAAGCCGCAGTGCAGTGGCGCAATCTCAGCTCACTGCAACCTCTGCCTACTGGGTTTAAGTCATTCTCCTGCCTCAGCCTCCTGAGTAGTTGGGATTACAGGCACCCACCATCATGCCCAGCTAATTTTTGTATTTTCAGTAGAGACGGGGTTTCGCCATGATGGCCAGGCTGGTCTCAAACTCCTGACCTCAGGTGATCCACCTGCCTCAGCCTCCCAAAGTGCTGGGATTGCAGGTGTGAGCCACCGCACCCGGCCTCAGCTTGCTGTTTAAACATGGTCTCATGCAGAGCCATCTGCCTGTGAGCTGGACAGCCACACGGTCCAGGGTTCCAGCCCTCCAGGCTCATCTCCCAAAAATACCCTCGGGTGTTTGTCCCAGCTAGTGAGTCAGGACTGAACCTGATACCAGGGAACAGTGTTGCTGCTGTCAGGGCATCTCTCGCCAGTTTCATTATTCACTGCTCCCACTCGCACGACGGACCCACGTCCGCCGTCCGTTCCAGACATAAGCCAACGCTCGCTCTGGCGTTCTCAGAAACCGTTCCGGTAACAGAAAAAGCTTTTTAACTTCCCGTGAGATCCACGAGGATCCGTGAGGTTGATACTTCAAGTCGAAGGCACGAGAATGTCCTTCTGAACCTGAAAATCACGGTGAAGGTCCTCGGGACATCTACATCGAGGCAGAAACAGATTTACTAGGGAGAAGGCAGTGGAGAGAAAAAGGCGACACAAGAAAAGATGCTGCCTCACTGGGCCGTCCTGCCCTGTCCCCTCCCCCAAAAGGTGAGCAGAGAAAGCTTTTTAAAGGCAACTGTCACTCAGTGGCAATGCCACTGGCTTTCTAGGACTTACTTTCTTCCCTCCAAACCTGTTTACGAAGGAGACGTGAGGAAAAAAGGTAAGAGTCACACAGAACAAGCACCACGACAGCCCCTCCCATCATCAGCCCCTCCCATCATCAGCCCCTCCCATCATTCCATCCACCACCCTGGTACTCACACTATTTTAACACAACACAATGGCCTCTGCCCATCATTCTTTTTTTTTTTTTTTAAGACTGACTTTCGCTCATCACCCAGGCTGGAGTGCAATGGCGCGATCTCAGCTCACTATAACCTCCGCCTCCCGGGTTCAAGCGATTCTCCTGCCTCAGCTTCCCAGGTAGCTGGGATGCACCATCACGTCTGGCTAATTTTTTATATTTTTAGTAGAGATGGGCTTTCTCCATGTTGGTCAGGTTGGTCTCGAACTCCCGAACTCAGGTGATCCGCCCACCTCGGCCTCCCAAAGAGCTGGAATTACAGGCTGAGCCACCGCACCCAGCCTCCCCTCCCATCATTTCATCGACCACCCTGGTACCCACAATATTGAACACAATGTATAACTATAATAACAACAATAATAAAAGCAGCTAACAGTTATGACGTGCTCACCTCTTCAATTCTGCTACAAGTTTTTTTGTTTTTTTGTTTTTGTTTTGAGACAGAGTCTCACTCGGTCACCCAGGCTGGAGTGCAGTGGTGCCATCTTGGCTCACTGCAACCTCCTCTTCCAGTGTTCAAACGATTCTCCTGCCTCAGCCTCCCAAGTAGCTGGGATTACAGGCGCCCGCCACCATGCCCAGTCTCTGTTTTTTGATCTATGCTTTTTTTTTTGAGACAGGGTCTCGCTCTGTCACCCAGGCTGGAGTGCAGTGGTATGATCACAGCTCACTGCAACCTCTGCCTCCCAGGCTCAAGCAGATTCTCCCACCTCCACCTCCTGAGTAGCTGGGACTACAGGCGTGCGCTACCACACCCAGCTAACTTTAAAATTTTTTGTAAAGACGGTGTTTTGCCTTGTTGCACAGGCTGGTCTCAAACTCCTGGGCTCAAGTGATCCTCCTGCCTCAGCCTCCCAAAGTGCTGGGATTCCAGGCGTGAGCCAGGACACCCAGCCTCTGCTACAAGTTCTATACATATGGGCTCACTTAGTACCCACGACAACCCTTTGAGGTATTATTATCCCCATTTTCCAGATAGAACACTGAGGTTCAGAGAGGCTAAGGAGCTGCCGGAAGTCATACAACGTATTATGACCGCAGCCAAAGGGCCTGACGCCTGCCTTCATTCAGGGTAGACCAAATCCCCACTGGGGCGGCCCCCTCCGAAGCCAACCTCACCCCCCACGGGCAGATTCCTAACAAAATTCACGCTCCCTTGTTTGTGGTAAAAGTCACTAGTCTGTGGACAAGGAGGAGTTAAGGCTGCATTTGTAGACGCAGAACCTAGTTTTCTGAGTTTTGTGGGCTGAAGTCAGACTTGTAGCATTAACTTTAACGTAAATTTTTTTGGAGGTGATTCATGTAGAATTCCTGCCAAGAATTTTCATAATTAGACTGAATAAGGCCAAACTCTGTCCGTACATGCCTCACCGCGTCGACTGCCCTAAGAGTTCTTCTGCAGCCCCAGCAAAGCCTGGGGAAGGGCTGGCCGAGCGGACTTCCAAAACTCCCAGGTTGTAAGCGGGCCTTGCTGCGGAGAGCGGGACCTGCGGGCTGCCCGGACGTCGGACGCCGTCCGGCTTCCATCCGACAGACTGGCCCCAGTTTTATGGTGCCCCGTGGCCACGAAGGACAAAAGGAAAGGACGCACACGTCGGAAAAAGCTTATAAAACAAGAGCCTTTCCCAGTGGCCTCTTTTCCGAGGGCTGTAAAGTCTCTCTCTCTGATGTGGTGATTTTCAGCATTTTTCCCCTCCACTTTGACCCAACACATTCCCATCAGTAACAGGAACTCACCCACATGGCAGTATTTTTTCGTTTACTTGTTTGTTTTTGAGACACAGCCTCACTCTGTCACCCGGGCTGGGGTGCAATGGTGCCATCTCGGCTCACTGCAACCTCTGCCTCCCGGGTTCAAGCGATTCTCCTGCCTCAGTCTCCTGAGTAGCTGGGATTACAGGCGCATGCAATCACATCCAGCTAATTTTTGTATTTTTAGTGGAGATGGGGTTTCACCATCTTGGCCAGGCTGGTCTCGATCTCCTGACCTCAGGTGATCTGCCCACCTCGGCCTCCCAAAGTGCTGGGATGACAGGCGTGAGCCACCATGCCCGGCCCTTGGCAGTATTTTTTACAGGTAAGGGAAGAATACACATCTTTACTCCTCACCCTTAGAGAAGCAGAGTCTGTATGACATGAAGGGTTTGGCAAAGCCCCCTGCAAGGTCTGTTTCCCGTCTTCTGCTCCTCTTCACACACAAGCGTGTGTGCCACATTCACACTCCTACACCCACAACTACGGATCTAACACACAGTCCCCAAACATACACTCTGCCAATGAATCAAGACTTACCTGGAAGGCTATGTCATTAAAATCACTGGAATTATATTAAAATTCTAAAATAGGCCAGGTGTGGTGGCTCATACCTGTAATCCCAGTATTTTAGAATGCCGAAGCAGGCAGACTGCTTGAGCCCAAGAGTTCGAGACCAGCTGGGCGACACAGCAAGACCCTGTCTGTAAATGTAAATATATATATATATATATAGATGCCGGGCATGGTAATGCACACACATAGTTTCAGCTATTCAGGAGGTGGGAAAATCCCTGGAGCCCAGGAGCTAAGAGGCTGCAGTGAGCTAAGAATGCACCACCACACTCCAGTCCAGGTGACAGAACGAGATCCTGTCGGTTAAAAATAAAAAAAGTGAAATAAAGAATGTATAAGTTTCTTAAAGCAGTCTTCAAAACAGAAAGGGAAGTTTAAAGCAACCTGCTGCCCCAAAATGGAGGGGTGCTCTTACAGGCTAGAACGTAGTAAAATATGAGACATGTTACCGATACAAGACAGAAATCATGCTATTGCAAACCACAGAAAATAGTTCTAGGCCAGTGCCGTTCAATAGAAATATAATGTAAGCCACATGTATCATCTTAAATTTCTTAACAGTGAAAGGTAAAAAGGGTTGGGCATGGCATGGTGGCTCACACTTGTAATCCCAGCACTTTGACAGGCTGAGGCGGGAGGACTGCTTGAGCCCAGGAGTTTGAGATCAGCCTGGGCAACAAAGCGAGACCCTATCTCTACAAAAAATTTAAAAATTAGCTGGGCATGGTGGCATGTGCCTGTGGTCCCAGCTACTCAGGAGGTTGGGGTGGGAGGATCGCTTGAGCCCAGGAGGCAGAGGTCGCAGTGAGCCACAATCGTGCCATTGTACTCCAGCCTGAACTACAGAGTGAGACCTTGTCTCAAAAAAAAAAAAAAGAAAAAGGTAAAAAGGTACAGGTGAAGTTAATCTTAATATATTTTAACCCAATACATCTGAAACATGATCATGTTGAAATGTAATCAATATAAACGAATAGTAATAGGACATATTACATTCCTTTCATCGTATCTGGGTCTCAGGGGCCTGGTGCACTTTATACCTTCAGTGCATCTCGATGTAGACTTGCCTCATTCTCAGGTACCTGCTTCGCAGCCATGAGAAGCTAGTGGCGGCCCCTGGACCACACAGCTCTGGGAAGTGGCACCATATAGTTAAGAAGTGTCCAGGGTTCTACTTACTTCTAAACTGTGTATTTTTGAATGACTGGCCTGGAATTAATAAATAAATAAATACCATGTTTTTTAAAGTTTTTTTTTAAAGAAAAATGTCTGTAGTTCCCACCTGCCCGTTTCCTACTTAAACAGCTCTGGTCAAGTCACTTAACCTTCTTGAGCTTGAGGGTCATAAAACTCAAATGAAGGTGAAAAAATGCCAACACAACTTCCTCACAAGGCTGTCTCGAGGCTCATGTATTATAATGCAGAAGGAAGTGTTTTGGGGTTTTTTTGGTTTCTGGGTTTTTTTTTTTTTTGAGACAGTCTCACTCTGTCACCCAGGCTGGAGTGCAGCACTGCAATCTCGGCTCCCTGCAACCTCCACCTCCCGGGTTCAAGTGATTCTCCTGCCTCAGCCTCCCGAGTAGCTGGGACTACAGGCACCCACCACCACACCCGGACAACTTTTTTTTTTTTTTAGTGGAAATCGGGTTTCATTATGTTGGCCAGTCTGGTCTCGAACTCCTGACCTCAGGTGATCCGCCCACCTCAGCCTCCCAAAGTCAGGCTGGGATTACAGGCGTGAGCCACCGTGCCCGGCTGGGAAGTGTTCTGTATAGTCCTATGCAAATGCCAGTTATTGCTATTCCAGTTACTTTAAGAGACTAGATCATCCTCAAACAGCAGCAGCATCTTTTCTTTGGTCTATAAACATTTTGCACACACCTGTCCTTCCTTCCCAGAGGCACAAAAACAGCGAGAAACACACATCAACAGTCCCCTAGTACAGTTACCATGTCAGAAGCTGTAAACCCACTTTACAAGAAAAATCTCAGCCCAATTTCCAAGTAATCTTTTTTTGGGGGGGCGGGGGAGGGTTATCTCCAAGAGAATTAATTAGACTCGTAAACAAAGATGGAGAAAAACATCCCTCCTTGCCCGACCCAACCTATCTTGTTCCCTTTCCTGCAGCCTCTGGCTCTTCAGAAGGGTTAGCGAATTACCTGTGAATTTAGGTGATTGCTTCTTGCAATATTTTAGGATTGTGAGGAGAAGTGATGTCTCAATACCTATTTTTTTTTTTTTTTTAAACAGAGTCTCACTCGGTCACTCAAGCTGGAGTGCACTGGAGTGATCTCAGCTCACTGCAAGCTCCGCCTCCCGAGTTCAAGTGATTCTCCTGCCTCAGCCTCCCTAGTAGCTGGGATTACAGGTGCCCGCCACCACGCCAGGCTAATTTTTGTATTTTTAGTAGAGATGGGGTTTCACCATGTTGGCCAGGCTGGTCTTGAACTCCTGACCTCAGGTGATCCTCCCGCCTTGGCCTCCCAAAGTCCTGACATTATAGGCGTGAAAACACTGTGCCTGGTCTGAAATACAGTAATGTTTGGTGGGCCCGGCCTGGAATATGGTAATGTTTAGCAGGTGATTTACCCACAGATTGGTCCTTTTTTCAGATGTCGGATCTGTAGGATTCTCAAGTTGACACAGGCATGTCTTCAGACACTGCAACTTTCATAAATGGCCACAAAATATAATGGATGGCAGAAAACAAGGGAGGTGGGTTCTGTCCTCTCGAAACCAGTTGCATCTATCTTTGTTGGCTTCATGCTTGAACTGCCAAAGTGGACATTCGGTGGCCCAGGCTCGCTGCCAACTCATGTAATGGGCTCAGCAGCGCTCCGTCCCTGAACCTGGGAGGTCTCAGTTCAACCTCCCAGAGTACCCCCAAGTCTCCCTCTCTAGAGACACCTGTGGTCTGTTCAAAGGCATTCCTGCTTTAGGACCTAAAGGTTCCAAGAAAAAAAGGGTCCCAACATTCTGAAACAGAACATAATCATAATAAGTTTTCCTTTCTTAACTGAGTGTTCCCCAGAGACGGCTCACAGTAGGGGTGAGCTATAAAGGAAGAACAATTTCCTCAATTCTGACCCCTGATTTTTCTCCTCTGGTCTCTAATTGGGTTACTTCAAAAACCCATGTTCTAGCCGGGCACGGTCGTTCACGCCTGTATTCCCAGCACTTTGGGAGGCTGAGGCAGGCGGATCATGAGGTCAAGAGTTTGAGACCAGCCTGGCCAACATGGTGAAACCCCATCTCTACTAAAAATACAGAAATTAGCCAGGCATGTTGGTGGGAGCCTGTAATCCCAGCTACTTGGGAGGCTGAGGCAAGAGAATCCCTTGAACCTGGGAGGTGGATGTTGCAGTGAACTGAGATTGTGCCGTTGCACTCCAGCCTGGGCAACAGAACGAGACTCTGTCTCAAAGGAAACAAAACAAAACAAAAAACCCATGTTCTACTTTTTTGGACCGAAGCCATTATGGTTAAACCAAATAGTCCACGGCAGTGGATCCCAAACATGTACCAAAGGCCCCCTGGAGAGCGCTTCAGGGTTATCACAAAGCTCCTTCCATCCCATGAGCACCAACAACTGTCTTCAGACCAAAAATTCAAGACTACAGGTGCCATTAGGTGTAGGATCCATGAAACCTTTGCCTCATGTTTTAAACACTGAAAACCACGACTAGCACTTTTAATAATACACTCCCGGCTGGGTGCGGTGGCTCACACCTGTAATCCCAGCACTTTGGGAGGCCGAGGCAGGCAGATCACGAGGTCAGGAGTTTGAGACCAGCCTGGCCAACATGGTGAAACCCCCGTCTCTACTAAAACTACAAAACAAATTAGCCGGGTGTGGTGGCACTTGTCTGTAGCCTCAGCTACTCGGGGGCAGGAGAAGTGCTTGAACCTGGGAGGCAGAGGTCGCAGTGAGTCGAGATCACACCACTGCACTCCAGCCTGGGCGACAGAGTGAGACTTCGTCTCAAAAAAAAAAAAAAAAAAAAAAAAAAAAACACTCCCTGCCAGCAGTCTGTCCTAGTCAAACGAGAGGAACACATCTCAAAATCTTCTTTTAAGTGACAGAATAATGAAGATTAAACAAGAAACATCTTGGGTTTTGTTTTTCACTTTTAATCTCATAAAACATTGCAAAATCTGAAATTACAAACACTTATAAAGCTAAACATTACACAACCAGTGCTCGGCATGAAACAGAGAGATTTTATATTTATTCTTCTGTGGTACCAAATAGAGGAATAGCGTTCCCTTAGAATAAAGTCCAGTGTAACATTTGGACAGACCTGCACTGTTGAGAAAAAACAATCAAGCCACCGAAAACCTGTTCTGACATGAGAATGTTCACAAAAGACAGCACTTCTCGACTTCTGCTGATAAACTTGTGTTCCAAAGGAAATGAATTTTTTTTTTTTTTTTTTTTTTTTGAGACTGAGTCTTGCTCTGTCCCCCAGGCTGGAGTGCAGGGGTGCGATCTCCGCTCACTGCAACCTCTGCCTCCCGGGTTCACGCCATTCTCCTGCCTCAGCCTCCCGAGTAGCTGGGGTTACAGGCGTGAGCCACCACGCCCGGCCTAATTTTTTTTATTTTTAGTAGAGACGGCTTTCACCATGTTAGCCAGGAGGGTCTGGATCTCCTGACCTCGTGATCCACCCACCTCGGCCTCCCACAGTGCTGGGATGATGGGCCTGAGCCACCGCGCCCGGCCGGAAATGAGTCTTAAGCAACTGCTGGTAGTGATGCCTCTGAAGTGGACTAACGGAAAACAGCGCGTGACAGAGGACAACGTCTTAAAAAACGCTGGTGAGTGATATCGCCTTTAATATCTATATCTATCCACTATGGATCTTATGAAAGAATCATGAAATACTTCTAACATAAAGGCAGTTTATTTGCCAAGAGAACAATCTTAAATCTCCTAAAAGCTCCATCCAGTTCTAGGTTGAAGCAACATCCTACACCTCCTAAATCAAACAACCTATGACTCAAATTCTAATCTTGGCCAGGCCTGGCAGCTCACGCCTGTAATCCCAGCAGTTGGGGAGGCCGAGGCAGGCGGATCACCTGAGACCAGGAGACGGAGACCAGCCTGGCCAACAGGGCGAGACCCTGTCTCTACTAAAAATACAAAAATGAGCCAGGCGTGGTGGCGGGCACTTGTAATCCCAGCTACTCAGAAGGCTGAGGGAGGAGAATCACTTGAACCCGGGAGGCGGAGGTTGTGGTGAGCCGAGATCGCGCCGCTGCACTCCAGCCTGGGTGACAGAGTGAGACTCCATTAAAAAAAAAAAAAAAAGTTCTAATCTTTGTAAGTGGCATAGACAGACAAAGTGTTTTCCAAATGCTGTAGGATATATATTTTTTAAAGCTCTCAATGCATAATATTGTCTGGAGGGTTTTTATTTGTTTTTTAGAAGAATTTATCATCCGTTCCAAGTTAGAGTTCACTTGCTACAAATGCTCAGAACTGATGATGTTTTTTTAAAAAAGCAACATACTTTCTACGTACAGCATTATTGCTCCAATGAATTAATGCCAACAAATGTGCTCGGTATTGCTTCCAGATTCTTCAAGTAACTGTACTCCTTGGAATGGTCAACCCAGTCCCATCTGTCCTTGATTACTTAATTTGCAGTCACCGGGGAGTTCAAAATGACTTTTCCACAGTGAAGATGGAAGCACACCTGGGCAGCAGAACGAGTGATGTGGGCTCAGCTCACAGACCTTCTCACACAGGGATGTAACAGGCGGCAGAAAGAAGGAATTCCCTCCCCGCGAGAAGGCTTGGGAAGGACAGTCTCCATGTTCCGGGAGACTCTGGACTTTAAGGAAGATTCCTTCCTGCTCTAGCTTATCTTTTTTAGCTTTTTTTTAAAGTATTTTTTTTGCTGATTAACTCCACTCTGCCAATAGTGTGTCCTCTCAAAGGACTCCAAGTTCCCACAGTGCATATGTATCCAATTTTATTGCTTTGCACTTGATATACGGCTTTGTAACTGCTCAAGGCATATTTTTGTGAACATTATGTTTCTGTCTCCCATACTCTACCCTAAGCTTCTTAACAATAAAAATCATGCCCTGCCCCTGCTTGGGATTTTTAACTATGACTGCATTAAATCTATAAATTAATTTTAAAGAAATGACATCTTTACAATATTTTGTATTTCTAGCCAGGAACAGTCTGTTTCTCCATTAATGCAAGTCTTCTTTTTTTTTTTTTTTTTTTTTGAGACGGAGTCTCGCTCTGTCGCCCAGGCTGGAGTGCAGTGGCGCGATCTCGGCTTGCTGCAAGCTCCGCCTCCCAGGTTCATGCCATTCTCCTGCCTCAGCTTCCTGAGTAGCTGGGACTACAGACGCCCGGCTAATTTTTTTTGTATTTTTTGTAGAGATGGTGTTTTACCGTGTTAGCCAGGATGGTCTCGATCTCCTGACCTTGTGATCCACCCGTCTCAGCCTCCCAAAGTATTGGGATTACAGCCGCCCACCACCACACCCGGCTAATTTTTGTATTTTTAGTAGAGATGAGGTTTCTTTCACCCTGTTAGCCAGGATGGTCTTGATCTCCTGACCTCGTGATCTGCCCGCCTCAGCCTCCCAAAGTGCTGGGATTACAGGTGTGAGCCACAGGGCCCGGCCAATTTTTTTTTTTTTTTAATGTCTAACCAAAGTTTCATAGTTTTCTCCAACTATAAAAACAAAATATGCACATAAAACATTTCACGTGAGTCTTTCTCCCTCCCCAGATCCCAGTCTGGCCCTCAGGTAATCCCCTCAGTTAAGTAACTTCCAGACGATATTCATGCATATACTTTTTTTTTTTTTTTGAGATGGACAGTCTCACTCTGTTGCCCAGGCTGGAGTACAGTGGCGCGATCTCGGCTCACTGCAACCTCTGCCTCCCGAGTTCAAGTGATTCTCCTGCCTCAGCCTCCCAAGTAGCAGGGATTACAGGCGCCCGCTACCACGCACGGCTAATTTTTCTATTTTTAGTGGAGATGGGGTTTTGCCATGTTGGCCAGGCTGGTGTTGAACTCCTAACATCAAGTGATCCACCCTCCTCAGCCTCCCAAAGTGCTGGGCTTATAAGCGTGAGCCACCACACCCGGCCAAATACTCTATTTTTTAATCCACATTCGGTTGAAAAAAATCTGTGTATAAATGGAACGGTGTAGTTCAAACCAACGTTGTTTGAGGGTCAACCGTATTTGTAAGATCTGTTGAGAAATTCCCAGAAATTGGACTGACAGGTCAAACGGTCCACACATTTTTAACTGTGTTAAAACACTGCCAAAGACACCGCATCAGATTACGCTCCCCCAACCACGCGGGAGAGACCCCGTCTACATCCTTGCCAACACTGTATGTTATCAAATGTTCCTTTTGCCAGTTTAATAATCACATATTTCAAAAGTTGTACTTCTTTAATTGCAAACAGAACCAGGCATCTTTTCATGTTTATGTGTCTTTCTCTGTTCAAATTCTTTACCCAAATTGATTTTAAAAGCTCTTTATGCATTAAGAAAAAAAACAGGCCAGTGGGCAGTGGCTCACACCTGTAATCCCAGCATGAAGATTACATTTGGGAGGCCGATGCGGGCGGATCACCTGAGGTCAGGAGTTCGAGACCAGCCTGGCCAACATGGTGAAACCCCGTCTCTACTAAAAATACGAAAAATTAGCCGGGCGTGGTGGTACGTGTCTGTAATCCCAGCTACTCGGGAGGCTGAGGCAGGAGAATCGCTTGAACCCGGGAGATGGAGCTTGCAGTGAGCCAAGATTGCACCACCGCACTCCAGCCTGGGCGACAGAGTGAAACAAGGAAAGGAGAAAAGAGAAAGGAAAGGACGGAAAAAAGAAAGAAAGAAAAGAAAAATAGCACTTTTCTCTGTCATATACGTTGGAAATATCTTTTCTCACCCTAGGGTTTATCATTTGATCTGGTTTCTGGTATTTTGGACCATATAGAAGTTTTATATTACAGTCATCTCTTTTATAGTCACCAATAAAATCTAGATTAATTCTCTGAACATAAATAGAGGCTAACTTCTTATTAGGAGAAGTAAAATTGAACAGAAAATTCATGAGTCACCAAAAATCCTTCCCGATTTTGTAAAATCTGGAAAAGCCAACAGTTGATCACCAAACCACTGCCAGCTCCCAAATGACAGAACTCATCCACAGAGCACCCCCACAGCCCAGGATGGCCCATTTTCTCCTGGAGTCTGAAAAGTCCATTCGCTTGTCAGTTTTCCAGAGTCTGGGAACCCTTTTTGCCTCTAGCGCTGGCTTAGCTGTTTCAACACAGAAGTGATCACAGATGAAGATGTCGGCCCCTGCCCACAGCAGAGACTCCTCAACACGACAGACAGAGAGCAACAGGCTGAGAAAGGAGAGTCGGTCAGTTTCCCAGAGACATCGTGGCACAACAGAGACCAAAGGAAAAGAGGATAAGGAGGCAGGTTCTCCACCTACCCCCACGTCCCCAGGCAATGCAGAGACCGGGAACCGATAAAGAGGCAGGTTCTCCACCTACCCCCACGTCCCCAGGCAATGCAGAGACCGGGACCCTTCTCAGATGACTTTTCTCTCCTGGCACCTGCTCTTTCTTATCCTTGTAGTAAAAGAGCAGACAAAAATGAAGCAGAAAAAAAATGTGTAAACAATTGCCCTTTCCATCTACACTGGCATAAACTCACTTACTTAAGTGCAAGGACATTCATTATAACGGCGTGTCCTCCCAAACTCGCGGAAGATTTTTATTTTATTATTTATTTTTATTTTTATTTTTGAGACAGAGTCTCGCCCTGTCGCCCAGACTGGAGTGCAGTGGCACAATCTTGGCCTACTGCAACCTCCGGCTCCTGAGTTCAAGTGATTCTCCAGCCTCAGCCTCCCGGGTAGCTGGGACTCCAGACACCCACCACCACACCCAGCTAATTTTTGTATTTTTAATAGAGACAGGGTTTCGCCACATTGGCCAGGCTGCTCTCGAACTCCCAACCTCAAGTGACTCACCTACCTCAGCCTCCCAAAGTGCTGGGATTACAGGCGCCCGCCACCACGCCCAGCTAATTTTTGTATTTTTAATAGAGATGGGGTTTCGCCACGTTGGCCAGGCTGGTCTCGCACTCCTGACCTCAGGTGACTCGCCTACCTCAGCCTCCCAAAGTGCTGGGATTACAGGCACCCGCCACCACGCCCAGCTAATTTTTGTATTTTTAGTAGAAATAGGGTTTTACCGTGTTGGCCAGGCTGGTCTCAAACTCCTGACCTCAGGTGATCCACCCGCCACAGCCTCCCAAAGTGCTGGTATTACAGGCACAAGCTACCACGCCCGGCCAGAAGGAAGATTCTTTTTAAGGCGAGAAGTATGCAATGAGACAGTAGAGGCAAGGTCAAAGGCAAACACCGAGGTCTGTAATTGGTAGCGCAAGCAAGGTTCCTAGAGGAGACAGGAATATACACAATTCAACAAACATGTATGAAATGCTACCTTGTGCTGAGCATCGAACCAGGCGGAGACAAAGATGAGGAGCAGAGACTCGCTTCTGACCTTCAAAGAGTCCACAGTCCATTGAGTGAGGTCATTAACTCAGCAAGCGAGTTAACAGGGAGCGTACCGTGATGTGGGAAGCAAGACTGTTGGGTGTAGAGGAGGCGGAGCTGGATGTGGGGAACCAGGGCTTCCCCTGGAGGAGCTGATGAGTGCGTGGAACCAACAGCACAGGCAAATAAAGCAAGCAAGTGAGATGAGTTTTCCTAAAATATTAAAGGGGGTGAAATCGCAGACACTTGTACTGGAAAAATTTCAGAGTTGATTTTTTTTTTTAGACAAAGTCTCGCTCGCCAGGCTGGAGTGCAGTGGTGCGATCTCGGCTCACTCCAACTTCTGCCTCCCAGGTTCAAGAGATTCTCCTGCCTCAGCCTCCCAAATAGCTGGGAATACAGGCACCCGCCACAACGCCAAGCTCATTTTTTGTATTTTTAGTAGAAATGGGGTTTCACCATATTGGCCAGGCTGGCCTCGAACTTCTGACCTCGTGATAGGTCCACCTCAGCCTCCAAAAGTGCTGGGATTACAGGCGTGAGCCACTGCACCCGGCCAGTTGAGGATTTTATAGTTGAGAATAAGTGGGATTATGATTAGCATGACCTCTAGGAATTCTTTCTCTCTTTCTTTCTGAGATAGAGTCTCACTCTGTCGCCCAGGCTGGAGTCATCTCGGCTCACTGCAACCTCCACCTCCTGGGCTCAGACAATCCTCCTGCCTCCGCCTCCCAAGTAGCTGGGACTACGGGAGTGTGCCATCACACCCAGCTAATTTTTGTATTTTTTTGTAAAGACTGGGTTTTGCCATGTTGCCCAGACTGGTCTCAAACTCTTGGGCTCAGGCAATCAACCTGCCTCAGCCTCCCAAAGTGCTGGGATTACAGATATAAGACACCACACCTGGACTCTAGGAAATTATTTCTAAGAAAGGAGTAAAAGTGAGAATGAATGAGTACATAGTGTAACGCTTCCGAGCTTTGGTGCAGGAGGAAAGTAAATAACAAGGATACCCCAGGGCTGGAAACTTGGCAATAAACCAAGAAGGCAGAGACCAGTTAGTGCAACACTAAAATGCCTGACCACTTATGGGGCCAGAGCTGGGGCTTCCAGGTGAAACTTCCCCTAAAATGGGCGGCCACTTATGGTGTCAGAGCCGAAACTTCCCCTAAAATGGGCGGCCACTTATGGTGTCAGAGCTGGAACTTCCAGCTGCTCCCCCTCTCCCAGTTCTTTTGTCCTTGTCCCTAGAGTTTTGGTCTCCAAGCAATCGGTTCTGTGTTTTTGTTTGTAGGCTCAATTTTAAACCACATTTTGTAAAGGCACTTCTCAAAAGGCAAAGATAAAAACACTGAAGCTCTTAAGAGCGCCTGTCTGGCTGCCAAGCCATTGTTCTACTCAAATGTCGAATGAAAAGGGAGAAACAGAATGATGATTGTATTTGAATTGCTTCCAAGGAAAAGTAACCTCCAGCAAAACTCTAGGCCCACTTTGCTAGAAATCCTGGCACGTCGGCAACAGAAATGGAGGCAGAAAATTGCATCTTTCAGAAAGCAGAGTATCAAACAGGAAAAGCCACAAGGAGTGAGGTGCTGTGAGGTTCCCGTGGTGCAGGATCCATTTTATCCTTTCTACTTCTTCCTGCTGAAAATGAGATTATTTAAAACAATTTAAAAGACAATTTTCCCTGCAAGGGGCCTTTTGGAAATGAGTCAAAGTCAAATCCCTTGTTTTACGTAAAATTAACGTATGACATTTCAAAGTTACCAAACTAAAAAAAAGGAAAATAAATATAAACACATTCCAAAACTTAAAAATGAAGGAGATTTCAGACAGTCCCTCCTGGTAAAATGTGAAATTGCACCCCAGCTGCAGTAGCTACTGTAAATATCCAAGGAATCAGTTTTAAGTGTTTGGGGATCCCAGGGATCCCTGCAAAGCACTCAGGATTTTAACATTAAGCTCACAAATTACAGCAGCTGGCCGGGCACGGTGGCTCACGCCCGTAATCCCAGCACTTTTGGAGGCCGAGGCAGGTGGATCACCTGAGGTCTCCACTAAAAATACAAAAAACTAGCCAGGTGTGGTGGCGGACATCTGTAATCCCAGCCACTTCGGGGGCTGAGGCAGGAGAATCACTTGAACCCGGGAGGTGGAGGTTGCAGTGAGCTGAGGTTATGCCATTGCACTCCGGCCTGGGCAACAGAGAGAAACTTCATCTCTAAAAAAAAATTACAGCAACCAACAGGCCTCTAGGTTAGTTACCACCCTAACCTCTTCGTTGTAAATTTTCAAACCACCTTGAAGGTGGGTATTTTTGGTGGGTCTTTATCTTCATTCATTAATCACATTATCAGACATTCCCTGTGTGTCCTGTTCTGTTATACATGCTGAAGCTACAAATCAAACATCCGCTTTGCCTCCAACAAGATTCCCTGTTCCTAAGTGAACCAAGGAATGAGGTGTTCCACGCCTGAGCTCACATCTTTTTTTTTTTTTTCTGTAGCCCAGGCTGGAGTGCAATGGCGCGACCTCGGCTCGCCGTGGCCTCCGCCTCGCGGGTTCAAGCGATTCTCCTGCCTCAGCCTCCCGAGCAGCTGGGACTACAGGCGCCCGCCACCATGCCCAGCTAATTTTTTGTATTTTTAGTAGAGACGGGGTTTCACCATGTTGGCCAGGCTGGTCTCAATCTCTTGACCTCGTGATCCGCCTGCCTTGGCCTCTGAAAGTGCTGGGCCTCTGAAAGAACAGGCGGGAGCCGCCGCTCACATCTTTACTCATGAACCTAAACTCACAGAGCAGCCCCACACTGTCGTCTGTGGAAACCACACCAGCTCCTCCTCTTCCTTCTGGACCTGCTGTCCCACCCTACGCCCATTTTTTATCTCCACCCACTCTTTGAACTTAGCACTGGTGTCTACAGGCTCGATTCCCAGCTCTCCCACAAGGACGTGGCTCAGACGCACGTCACCATCTCAACCCAATGTAGGCCACCCGCTGCAGGCGAGCTTCCCTACCCAATCCGACCTCCTAGACGGACACCCCAGGTTCCAGCCCTACAAGGGGCGCGTACTGGCACAACAGGCGGGCGTGGCTCTCGCTCCCCAGGAAGGCCTCGCAGAGGTGGGGACAAGGGCGGATGGGAAAGGGGATAAGCGACAGGAGAGGGGGGACTCCCGTTCCAAACAAAGGGGACTGCGTACTGGTGAAGAAGAATGTGGTCTGTATTCAGTTTTGTTGACAAGAACCCCTAATGGATAATAATAAAATGTTTACTGAGCTCGTACTTTATGGAAGACACATGGCTCACGGCAGGGCCCGGCACATCACAAAAACTCACTCCGTATTTGCAGCATAAAGGAAATCTCAGTTTCAGTTTTAAAAGTTGTGTGTCTAAACCAGAAAATAACTCATAACATGATCCTACTAAGAAGATGGGCCAAAAACAGACAAAAGAAACACGAGAACACTCAATATCACCTCCCCCAAAACAACACAGCATTTTCCTCCTGTAATCAAACAATCACAAACCAGGCTGTGCTGGGCCTGGCCGTTGTGCCAGAAACAGCCCCAGAACCCTGGGCCCAAAGGGGTCTGGTCTTGATTAAGATTATTTTCCTTTGTAACGTTCGGTTTGGAGGAAAAGGCGGGAGGGTCGGAAGGAAATGGGAGGAGCGCACGATCCATCAGCGAGTTTCATCGCAGCGTTTCATCTCCTTCGTGAACTGGGCTCAGGGAGGCCGTGACTCCCATTTCCATTTGGCTCCCGAGTCAATCACTCACTTTCATTCCAGCTACTTTTTGTCTTAATTTCTTGACTTAAAAAGGGTTTGGTTGAGGCCGGGCGCAGTGGCTCATGCCTGTAATCCCAGAAAGTGAGGCCGAGGCGGGCGGATCACCTGAGGCCAACAGTTCAAGAGCAGTCTGGCCAACACGATGAAAACCTGTCTCTACTAAAAATACAAAAATTATCCAGGCGCGGTGGTGGGCGGCTGTAATCCCAGCTACTCAGGAGGCTGAGGCACGAGAATCGCTTGCACCCGGGAGGCAGAGGCTGCAGTGAGCTGAGATCGCGCCACCGCACTCCAGCCTGGGAGACAGAGACTCAGTCTCAAAAAAAAAAAAAGGCCGGGGGTGGGGGGGCGGGTGTTTGTTGAATCCTTGGTGAATTTAAGGACTCAGAAAACAAAGTAAGTTAAACTACGTTTCCACAGCCTCCTTCCTCATTAAAAATGTCTCTGCAGCCAGGCAAGGTGGCGTGCGCCTGTAGTCCCAGCTACTCGGGAGGCTGAGGCGGGAGGATCACTTGAGGCCAGGAGTTTGAGGCTGCAGTGAGCTATGATTGCACCACTGCACTCCAGCCTGGGCAACAGAGTAAGACCCTATTGCTTTAAAAAAAAAAAATGTTTCAGCCAGGCTCGGTGGCTCACACCTGTAATCCCAGCACTTTGGGAGGCTGAGGGTGGATCACGAGGTCAGGAGATCGAGACCATCCTGGCTAACATGGTGAAAGCCCGTCTCTACTACAAATACAAAAATCAGCCGGGCGTCATGGCGGGCACCTGTAGTCCCAGTTCCTTGGGAGGCTGAAGCAGGAGAATAGCTTGAACTAGGGAGGCAGAGGTTGCAGTGAGCCGAGATTGTGCCACTGTACTCCAGCCTGGTGACAGAGTGAGACTCTGTCTCAAAACAAAACAAAAAAAAGGTTCTGGAATGATTATTCCAATTAAACAGCTTTTATTACAATACTCTGTCAATGCAGGGCAATCATTCCTTAAGATGCTAGAAAACGTGTTATTGTAACACGAGGAAAAAGCCCTGTAATCTCAGCACAACCAGAAATTAAAGTGGCAGTTTTGGGAGGACGCAGTCAAACGGCTTTCTACAGCACCTCCTCGTATCGTGGGTTACAGAACCTACGTCGTCCTCGGAATCCCCGCATTCGTCCCACGCGGCCCTCAGACACGGGCTCTGGTTCAAGGTGGGAGACAGAGACAACACCAATCAGCCCTTACCAGGCAGTGCGTGGCTCCAGAACAACAACTGAAAATAATATTGGAACGCAGTCCAGAAAATACAACTAGGGGCAGAGCGGTCCGGCACAAAACACCAGGAAACGCTCTCCCTTCCATCATTCAATCTTGGCGGACCACACTGGTATGCGACCTCATCTAGCTACATAGCTACACCTCCCTCTTGTCACCTTGCAGACTGGTATTCACTAACCCCCAGGCCATGGCGGAAAATGTACCTTCCATCTCTCTCTGCCTCAGCCCCCACCGGCACCCTTGGTGCCTTCATCACCCATCCAGAGCAACTACCCACTTCCACGGCCTCCTCCATGTGAGGACCTCCGCCTCCAACTCTCTTCGAGCCACCACGCGGTGCAAATGTTTGTATTTTTGGTGGAGACAAGGTTTCGCCATGTTGCCCAGGCTGGTCTTGAACTCCTGGGCTCAAGCGATCAGCCCATCTCAGCCGCCCAAAGTGCTGGGATGACAAGCACGAGCCATCACGCCCAGTCTACACCCCGAAATCCAACATTACAAACTTATCAATGCTGCCTCCTGTCATCTCCCCCCGCCCCTGGCTCCCGCTTTGACCTGGAGGAATCTGGCAACGTCAACATCAAGTGATTGTTCAAATTCAGCCAAGGGGGCCGATGAGGTGCCCATGTGGCTCTCCTCCCAGCCCCGAGCGCCTGGGGATACCTAGGCCCTCCTGTCATGCCCCAAGGCCAATGTAGCCTTGGGGATGCCGAGCCTGCCTGATCCCAATTCCTCCAGCGTTCTCCTCCCAGGGTTCCGCTCCCTCCCCAAGTGACCAGCCCTCACCAGCTCACTCCAGCTCTGCAGCGTTCTCCCAGGCTCTCAACCCTCGACGCTCATCCAGGTTCATTCGCCATCCGTATGCCCTAGCCCAGGGTGGGTCTCATCAACTGTACCCTCACTGGCAGCACCCAGGACGTTCTCAATGAGGTCTTCATTCATACCGCCTTGCCAATCGCCCTCAAAATCACCTGGAAGATTCCACCGTTCAGGAAGCCTTTTTTTTTTTTTTCCTTTGAAACAGAGTCTCGCCCTGTTGCCCAGGCTGGAGTGCAGTGGTGGGATCTCGGCTCGCTGCAACCTCTGCCTCCCGGGTTCAAGCGATTCTCTTGCCTCAACCTCCCGAGTAGTTGGGATTACAGGCGCCCGCCACCATGTCCGGCTAATTTTTGTAATTTTAGTAAAGACGGGGTTTTGCCATGTTAGCCAGGCTGGTCTTGAACTCCTGACCTCAAGTGATCCTCCCACCTTGGCCCCCAAAAGTCCTGGATGACAGGTGTGAGCCACCGTGCCCAGCCTCTATGTGACCTTTATATGTTTCTTAACCTCTTTGTGACTCAGTTTTCTCATTTGTAAAATAAAGAGAAGAGCATCTATATCACAGCTTTGTAGTGAGAGTTAGACGGGACGGCGTTCAGCCACCCTCAGAGCAGCGGCTGGCACACAGGGGAGCCCCTTCCTCTGCTCACTCCTTCCTCTTCCTCCACCTACAGGGTCAAGTCTTTACCACTCAAAAGGTAACTGTTTATCCCCAGGCAACCTCTATGTTCCTCTGGCTCAGCCCCAAGCTCCCTGACTCACCACAGCCTCCTCCTACCCCGGCTCCCTCTCCGCACTCACAAGCCGGCTCTCAGCGGGGCCACCAACAACACCCAGCGGAACCCGTCATCTTGTTCCGGTCCACGGCGCCCCCTGAAACTGCTGCTTTCCATCTTTTCCTCGAAACGCTTCCCGCACCTCTCCTGGCCCCTCTGCATCTGTGGCTTGTCCTTGGTCCCCTACGCCAGCCCCTCTGCCTGCCCCTGAATGCTGGGGGTGATGGTTTCACCCTTGGCTTTCTCCTCCTGTCCCGAAGATGAGTCCATCTGCTCCAGCACGCTAGACAACACCTGGCCGGCCCAGGCTCTCATCCTCACTGCCCCTGGACAACACCTGGCAGGCCCAGGCTCTCATCCTCACTGCCCCTGGACAACACCTGGCCGGCCCAGGCTCTCATCCTCACTGCCCCTGGACAACACCTGGCCGGCCCAGGCTCTCATCCTCACTGCCCCTGGACAACACCTGGCCGGCCCAGGCTCTCATCCTCACTGCCCCTGGACAACACCTGGCAGGCCCAGGCTCTCTCCCTCATTGGCCACTGGCATCTCTTCTGGGCTCTACCTGCCCGCAGTCTCACCTGTATCCCAAGGGAACCTCAAACTCAACATTTCTAAAATTGAGGTTACCGCCTTCCTCCAACCTGCTTCTCCCTCTGTATTTCTTATATAGACTGAAGACATCGCTGTCAACCCAGCTCCCCACATCAACCCTTTGGTAGTAGACTGGGCAAAGGGCCTCATTCTAAGAAACCCTTTTCAGCGGGTAACTGTGACTTTGTTGGCCAACAGAAACGGGTTAGCCCTGTATTCAGGGATATGACTTAAAGCTGTAAGAATTGGCCAGGCACAGTGGCTCACGTCTGTAATCCTAACACTTTGGGAGGCCGAGGCAGGTGGATCATTTGAGGCTGGGAGTTTGAGACCAGCCTGGCCAACACGGTGAAACCTCATCTCTAAAAATACAAAAATTAGCTGGGTGTGGTGGCGGGCACCTGTAGTCCCAGCTACTCTACTCGGGAGACTGAGGTAGGAGAATCACTTGAACCCGGGAGGCAGAGGTTGTGGTGAGCCAAGATCGTGCCACTGCACTCCAGCCTGGGCAACAAGAGCAAAACTCCGTCTCAAAAAAAGAAAAAAAGAAAAGTGTGAGAACCATTAGTTGGAAATAGGATGGGGCCACGAATAAAATCTAAGCGTACATTCCAAAATCAAGAGCTTAACAAAAGACCCAGTTAGCCTGAGGTACAGAACCAGGAGGTGCTCAAATCTGGGGCTGAGAGCCAGAGAGACGTCAGAAGGTGAGAAGTGCCCAGCCAGGACTCCACTCTGCGTTCTTTGTTTTGTTTTTGAGACGGAGTCTTGCTCAGTTGCCCAGGCTGGAGTGCAGTGGTGCGATCTCGGCTCACTGCAACCTCTGCCTCCGGGGTTCAAGCGATTCTCCTGCCTCGGCCTCCCGAGTAGCTGGGACTACAGGTGCCCGCCACCACACCCGGCTAACTTTTTGTATTTTTAGTAGAGACGGGGTTTCACCGTATTAGCCAGGATGGTCTCGATCTCCTGACCTCATGATCCACCTGCCTTCGGCCTCCCAAAGTGCTGGGATTACAGACGTGAGCCACCACGCCCGGCCCACTCTGCATTCTTACAAGGTGCCGTGTGTGGCTCCCAGGGCCTGAGCTGGGAGCCCAGAGTCTTCATCTCCTCCCTACTTCTCACTTCAACTCGACTTACTCACCTCCCAAGTTCTCCCGGACTCTGTCTCCTGTTTTACTTTCCTTGACAGCATTATCCACGAGTTCAGGACTTCTCTTTGCCTTAGGGACCACCACCTGGACGGCGCGGTGGCTCACACCTGGAATCCCGACACTTTGGGAGGCCAAGGCAGGAGGTTTTTACTACAACATCTCCAGGCAGGGCCCTTGTCTTATTCACTCTGTTTACATCCACCTGGGTGCCACTCCAGTGTTTCGCACAGAAAAATAACCACGTTGGTGCAATTACTTGTGCACCAACTTAAAGCAAGACCCCGCTTTACACCAAAAAAATTTTATATTAGTCAGGTGTGTTGGCACATACCTGTAGTCCTAGCTACCCCGGAGGCTGAGACGGGAGGATTGCTTGAGCAAGTCTAGGCTGCAGTGAGCTGTGATCACACCACTGCACTCCAGCCTGGGCAACACAGCGAGACCGTGTCTCAAAAACAAACAAAAATTTTTAATTAATTTTAAAATAAAGGCCATCCCATCCAAGCAAAAATTGGAAAATGTAATGTTCAACAACATATCCATATAGTCACTATTTGCAGACCTGCAACGTGCAGGACACTGCGTCCAGCATTGGGGACAGGTCCTCACAGAGTTTACGCTCTTGTAAGAAAACAGACATCAAATATCCCCAAAACATATGTAACTAGAAACTTTGATAAGCAGCATAAAAGAAACAGATAGGACACAAGTGCGTTTGATACCAGAAGGACAACCTCATCGGGGGTCAGGAATGATGAAACATCAAGCAAGAGTGAAGATGAAACACTTGGTAATATTTGATGAGCGAGGAGAATATTCGTGAGATAGTTAAGTGGAAACGACAAAACGACAGGTATATAGTTAAACCCCACTTTTGTATTTTTTTAAGTATATTTTACAGAAGAAAGGAAAGATATACAAATAAAGTGCAAAATGTTAGCAGTGGGGAGGTTTATGATTCCTATATTCTAGTGCTTTTCTACATTTTTCAAATTCTCAAAAAGTTTTTTTTTTTTTTTGAGACAGGGTCTCACTCTGTTGCCCAGGCTGCCGTGCAGTGGCACGATTCTGGGCTCAAGGGTCTTCCCACCTCTGCATCCTGCATATCTGGGACCACAGGTGTGTATCACCAAACCCGACTAATTTTTTATTTTATTTATTTGGGACAGCTTATTTATTTATTTTTTGAGATGGAGTTTCGCTCTTATTGCCCAGGCTGGAGTGCAATGGCGCGATCTCGGCTCACTGCAACCTCCACCTCCTGGGTTCAAGCGATTCTCCTGCCTCAGCCCCCCGCGTAGGTGGGATTGCAAGGCGTGAGCCACTACGTCCGGCTAATTTTGTATTTTTAGTAGAGATGGGGTTTCACCATGTTGGCCAGGCTGCTCTTGAACTCCCAACCTCAGGTGATCCGCCCACCTCGGCCTCCCGAAGTGCTAGGATTACAGGGATGAGCCACTGCGCCCGGCCGATTTTTAATTTGTTGTTGTGATAGAACATACATAACAGAAAATGTCCTATTTCAAGTGTGTTCCGGTGGACCGTCCTGCAGCATTAGGTGCATCTCCTGTTCTGCTACCATCACCACCATCTGTCTCCAGAACTTTCCATCTTCCCAAACTGAAATTCCGTCCTCAGTAAAGACTAACTCCGTTCCGTTCCGTTCCGTTCCCCTGCTCCCCAGCCCCAGCCCTTGGCAGCACCAAGCCTCATTCAGTTTTAAAATGCAAACATTCAAAGACCAAGCCTCATTCACACCTTCGGTGTAAGTTACTTTCATCTGCGAAACTCCCATCACTCAGAAAGGAATGCCCAGGTAAAGGCAGGAAGTACAGGTACACAGAGCTGGAGACAGGCCTGGGTGGCAATTTGGGATGGGGGTTGGGAGAAGAGATTTTACAAGTCAGATGGGAAGGAAAAGTAACTATTTGCTTTGAGGTTTGGCCCAGGGCCTTGGGAGCAGCCGGCGGATTCAGGTGTAAGAACTAGCCACCAAAAGCCTCTGCATCTCTTGTTCAAAGCTGATTGTCTCAGGTTTGACTGTCTCAGGCTTTGGTGTCTCGCAGAAGCACCAAAGGAGAGGACAGGGAGGAAGAAAGAAGGGGTGGAAAGGAGATACAGAGACTTAAGTCAAGAATGAGGCCTCCCGCCTCCCGGAAAGCAAACCTAGGAATACTCTTGACAGCTGGTCACACTGCACCTGCCTGAACAAGTCCAGTGACGGGTACAAGGAGGCCCCAACATTCCAGAGAAGCACATCCAGGCAGCTTCAGAAACCCCAAACCCAGGAACACAGAGGAGGCTGGAGAGGCTTCTGGCTTTTTCCTGATTGACTGACTGAGACAGAGTTTTGCTCTTATCACCCAGGCTGTAATGCAATGGCGCGATCTCAGCTCACTGCAACCTCCGCCTCCCGGGTTCAAGCGATTCTCCTGCCTCAGCCTCCCGAGTAGCTGGGATTACAGGCGCCCGCCACCATGTCTGGCTAGTTTTTGTAGTTTTAGTAGAGACGGGGTTTCACCATGTTGGCCAGGCTGGTCTTGAACTCCTGACCTCAGGTGATCCGCCCGCCTCAGTCTCCCAAAGTGCTGGGATGACAGGCGTGAGCCACTGTGCCCAGCTCCTGATCTGTGGTGGTTGTTGCTGCTGTTAATGTCTCACCTCTCACTACAACTCCCCATTCAACTTTCTCTAAAACCACCTCACTCATACAAACGTTGCCCTGGCTCAAGCAACTGCTAAAATGCTCACGAACGTCCCTGTTCCCCAAGAAGTACATGGTGGGCTTGCTCCCAGCACAGCAAAAAGTCATCATTCCAGTCTTTAGTTTATCCAAAACTCCCTTTCTCTGGCTAAGAGCTATCACTTCTTTAGATAATCTTTGCTTTTTCTTCCCTGATATCACCAATAGTAGCAGCTGATTCTCGTTGCAAAAGAGCCATTTTTCACAAAGAAAGTTTTAATGACTTAAGAGTTAGCAGCTGGGCTGCAATGCAAATCTATGTCTTAGCAGAATTATGACCTGTCAGGAATCTCTGGGATGGATGAAAGCTCTCAAGATTCAAGACAATGTTAGATCCGCACATTCTCAGTATCTACCGTCTCTGTCTCTATTTTTCTCCTCCTTCCCTCTTTCAAGAGACGGATCTCACTCTGTCACCCAGGCCGTAGTGCAGTGGCACCGTCAATGGCTCACTGCAGCCTCAACCTCCCGGGCTCAAGCAATCCTCCCACTCCAGCCCTCCAAGTAGCTAGGACTACAGGCATGCACCACTACACCCGGCTAATTTTTTTATTTTTTATAAAGACAGGGTCTTGTCATGTTACCCAGGCAGGTCTCGAACTCCTGGGCTCAAGCGATCCTCCCGCCTCAGCCTCCCAATGCTAGGATTACAGGCGTGAGCCACTGTGCCCGGCTCTCCTCCCCTCTCTTTTCTCTTTATTAACAGGAGTATCCCATGTTTTTTGTTTTTTTTTTGTTTTTTTGTTTTTTTTTTGAGACAAGGTCTGGCTCTATCGCCCAGGCTGGAGTGCAGTGGTGCAATCTCGGCTCACCACAGCCTCTGCTTCCCGGGCTAAAACCATCCTCCCACTTCAGCGTTCCGAGTAGCTCAGACCACAGGCGTGCACCACCACGTCGGCTCATTTTTGTATTTTTTGTAGAGATGGGGTTTCGTCATGTTCCCAAGCTGCTCAAACTCCTGAGCTCAAGCGATCTGCCCGCCTTGGCCTCCCAAAGAGCTGGGATTCCAGGCGTGAGCCAACGTGTCTGGCCATCCCACACATCCCTGGGATTTGTAGAACAAGGCTCTGGGTAATGAAAGAGTCTGGGGATAAACACTTTTGCCCATCTCCCATCCAATGCAGCCAAGAAAACTGTTCATAACAACCCTGGGAGGTGAGTCAGTGATCCAATGGGAGGCTGGAAGGAGTATAGAAAAGGGAGGTAAGAGAAGCAAAAGTAAGGCCAGGTGCGGTGGCTCACGCCTGTCATCCTAGCACTTTGGGAGGCCGAGGTGGGCGGATCACGAGGTCAGGAGATCGAGACCATCCTGGCTATCATGGTGAAACCCCGCCTCTACTAAAAACAGAAAAAATTAGCCAGGCGTGGTGGCAGGCGCCTGTAGACCCAGCTACTTGGGAAGCGGAGGTTGCAGTGAGCCGAGATTGTGCCACTACACTCCAGCCTGGGCGACAGAGACTCCATCTCAAAAAAAAAGAAAAAAGAAAAGAAAAGGGAGGTAAAAGAAGCAAAATTAGGACTGGGTGCTGTGGCTCACACCTGGAATCCCAGCACTTTGGGAGGCCAGGGCAGGCAGATCGCTTGAGCTCACAAGTTCCGGACCAGCCTCGGCAACAAGGCGAAACCCCGTCTCCACAGAAAATAAAATAATCAGGCGTGGTGGTGCACACCTGTGGTCCCAGCTACTTAGGAGGTTGAGGCAGGAGGTTGCAGTGAGCCAAGATTACGCCATTGCACTCCAGCCTGGGTGACGGAAGTAAAACCTTGTCTCAAAAAAAAAAAAAAAAAAAGCAAAAGTAGCCAGGATGGTTTGCAGGAGGAGCAGAAGGAGGCGGGCTCAGTGGGAGATGGCCCACGTAACCAGTCAGACAGCGATGGTTTGCGGGAGGAGCAGAAGGAGGCATACTCCGTGGGAGACGGCATAACCAGCCAGACAGCACTGGCTCTCAGAGGCAGAGAACAAAAGGGACGGGCTTAGAGGGAGAAGTGAAGCCCATTTCAAAAGAACTCCTAGAGACAGCCGTGCCCACTCGCCCCCTCACCAGCTTTTCTTTAATTACTGAGTCTGCACGTGATGTTCCTTATACCACCTGGACTCTCACCAACCCCAGCTGCTTGTGTTAACAAAGTCAACCTCTCTGAGAATCTGGGCTGGTGGTCATTAGCAAAGAGAGGCGAGGATAAACATCCTAGATAAAGGGAAACCACAGATTGTAAACTTGAAGAGGACTCTGGCCAAGAATCTGGAGGAGTTACTTAATTCACAGGGTTGTGGTAAGGGACTAATGAGAATGCAGACGAAGGTGTTTTGCAAAGAAAGTGCCATAAGCATGCGTCACTAGGAAAGCTGATGTATGAGCAGTCTGCAAAGTGGGGGTCTCAAGAGCACAGAGTCCAGGCAGCGGGGGTCTCAGCCACAGCACCACCTCTTTAAAAAGCGACACCCAGCTAACTTCACATCTCATTCCAAAGAGTGGCAGTTTGGGTAACGTGCTCTGCCAAGCACATCTGACTTCATCAGAAAAGCATTCGGTGAGATTTCCTATGGAATCCTTGTGGACAACATAGATCCACAGGCTGGATAATGTGAACTGGTAACTGGCCAACCACCACACCCCTGAAGCTTGGATTAGTGGATGAATACCATTAACCTAGAGGGAAGTTTCTCACTGTGTTCTAAAAAGATCCATTCTGGCTGTGCTCATCTCAACATTATCCTTAATTCCCTTGAAAAAGTACTGGAAGGTTGGGCGCGGTGGCTCACGCCTGTAATCCCAATACTTTGGGAAGCGGAGACAAGCTGATCACCTGAGGTCAGGAGTTTGAGACCAGCCTAGACAACATGGTGAAAGCCCATCTCTACTAAAAATACAAAAATTAGCCGGGCGTGGTGGTGGGCACCTGTAATCCCAGCTACTCGGGAGGCTGAGGAGGGAGAATCGCTTGAACCCGGGAGGCGGAGTTTGCAGTGAGCCGAGATCATGCCACTGCGCTCCAGCCTGGGTGACAGAGTGAGACTCTGTCTCAAAAAATAATTAAGGAAATAAAAGATACTGGAGAATACCGCTCACATGTGCAGATATCAAGAAGACTAGCAGATGAGCAAATGGCCTAAACGCGTAATCAGCTGTATAAATGCAATACACATCATAACTTTTAGGAACTGTTTGCAATTCACACTTAATTCCCACAGAGTAAAGCCGAGGCCTTAAATTAGTGAATGGCATATGTGCTTTGTTTGGCTTTGCCCAATGTCAAGAAAAATTTTAACTGGCTAACAGCATGTAAAACTTAACTAGCTTCACATAAAAACCCAGTTTGTTAGCTTGAAAAATCAGAAGAGCTGGCAACGTCGGCCTTCATTACGGCAACAGGCAGCTGGAGGTGAGCGCCGGCTTTCCCCGAGGGCTGGCTGCGGCCCTCCACTCTGTCCCCCACCACCTGGCCCAGGCCACTCGCTTCACCTGCCTGGCCCTCTACTGGCATTTGAGTTGGTGAGTCCTGCAGGAAAACACTGGTTCACGTTATTAAATATGTCCAATTGGCTACACGTTTTGACTGTGCACGAAACTCCAGCTCGGTCTTCACTTACAGCTTTTGCAGGTTTAGCTCCTGTAGCAAGATCCAACATCTGATCTCACAGCTTCACAATGACAACCTGTCTGTGAAGAACATCCCAGTTTTCCAGTGTGCCCCCCTACCCTCTGGTTTATTTAACCTTCCCAATATTCCAGGAAGGCTGGGCTTATTGTCCAAAATAGAAGGGCGATCAACCAGCTAACAGGAACTAAAACCGGGATTTCAACTCAGGACTTGGGTTCAACCTTAGCTTAGCATTTCCCACCATACCTACCACGCATCCCTCAATCCCTGGAGGCGGCTCTGATTCCAGACTGACCCAACCGGAGGAGGCTCAAGTCCAGGTTGCAAAGCAGCTGGGCTGCTCTGGAAAGAGCGTTTGGAATCCTTGCTTCACTTCCGTTTTTAATCTTCTTAAAAAAAACTGTGTAGTAGTGTTTAATCCAAAGACAGCTGATTCCCATTTACACGTAACCTGTTGAACTCACATACTAAATTTTAAAGCTCTGCTCTCGAAAATGCAGTTTGCTCTTTAAGATCTCCTTGGTAACACATCTAACTGGTATCTGAACTACAGAAAAAAAAAAAAAACTTTGGAATCAATCAATGACGGGGGTTAGAATAAAATCCAACTCAGGAAAGTACCGAAGAAAGTTCCAGAATGACAGCTGTGTAGCCGACCCAGAGAACCACCTGTGTCTGGAATGGAGGAGGACTGGTAACTCCCAGGAAAGGGGACTCTCCAAGTTAAAAAGGGGACTCAGGCTGGGTGCAGTGGCTCACACCTGTAATCCCAGTACTATGGGAGACTGAGGCAGGCAGATCACCGTGAGGTCAACAGTTCAAAACCAGCCTGGCCAAGATGGTGAAACCCCATCTTTACTAAAAATACAAAAATTAGCCAGTGTGATGGCGGATATCTGTCATCTCAGCTACTCAGCAGACTCAGGCAGAAGAATCACTTGAAGCCGGGTGGCGGAGGTTGCCAGTGAGTTGAGATCGTGCCATTGCATTCCAGCCTGGGTGACAGAGCGAGATTCCGTCTCAAAAAAGAAAAAAAAATACCACTTGAACTTGCCACAAACAATATTTACAGACACAACAATGCCCCTATTGATTGACTGGCTGATTTTCAACTACACACAAAGCATGAATCCCGGTGACACAACACAATGTAAATACGAACAACCTTGACAAAGCTAAAGGTACAAAAAATAGGAAGGAAGTGCAGGAGACCTGATGGGCAGGATAGAAAGACACCAACGTTCCCAAAGTCCTATTGAAGGATAAGGAGTAAAGGCATAAACATGTTATTAAATGCTAAAAGTGTAACCAGGAAAACCGTAAATGGTGGTATACCAAGAGGACAAAGAAAGTTGAGTTTGCTTTTTTTTTTTTTTTAGACAGAATCTCGCTCTGGTTGCCCAGGCTGGAGTGCAGTGGTGCGATCTCGGCTCACTGCAACCTCTGCCTCCCGGGTTCAAGTGATTCTCCTGCCTCAGCCTCCTGAGTAGCTGGGACTACAGGTGTGAGCCACCACGCCCAGCTAATTTTGTATTTTTAGTAGAGATGGGGTTTCACCATGTTGGTCAGGCTGGTCTCGAACTCCTGACCTCATGATCCGCCCGACTCAGCCTCCCAAAGTGCCGGGATTACAGGCGTGAGCCACCGCACCCGGCTGGTGAGTTTGCTTTTAAGGGAGCTAAATCGATCTCTAGCCTAGCAGAAAACCAACACATAATGTTGAAGTTCGCCGGGTGTGGTGTCGCACGCCTGTAGGCCCAACGACACAGGAGGCTGAGGTGGGAGAATTGCCTGAGCCTAGCAAGTCGAGGCTGCAGTGAGCTGAGATCGCGCCACTGCACTCCAGCCTGGGCGACAGAGCGAGACTCCATCCAAAAAAAAAAAAAAAAAATTAGCTGGGTGTGGTGGTGTGTGCCTGTAATCTCAGCTACTGGAGAGGCTGAGGCAGAAGAAATGCTTAAACCTGGGAGACGGAGGTTGTAGTGAGCAGAGATCACACCACTGCACTCCAGCCTGGTGACAGAGCAAGGCCCTGTCTCAAAAAAAAAAAACAAGAAAGATAAAGTCATATAATAAGCCTATGTATACTACTTGATTTTGTTTTCGCCATAAGCACATGTTATTTATTTTAAAAAAATTTTTGGCCGGGCGCAGTGGCTCACACCTGTAATCCCAGCACTTTGGGAGGCCGAGGTGGGCGGATCGTGAGGTCAGGAGATCGAGACCATCCCGGCTAACACAGTGAAACCCTGTCTCTGCTAAAAATACAAAAATTAGCCGGGCGTGGTGGCAGGCGCCTGTAGTCCCAGCTACTCGGGAGGCTGAGGCAGGAGAATAGCATGAACCCGGGAGGCGGAGCTTGCAGTGAGCTGAGATCACGCCACTGCACTCCAGCCTGGGCGACAGAGTAAGACTCCGTCTCAAAAAAAAAAAAAAAAAAAAAATTTTTGGCCGGGCGCAGTGGCTCACGCCTGTAATCCCAGCACTTTGGGAGGCCGAGGCGGGGGGATCACTCGAGGCCAGTAGATCAAGACCAGCCTGGCCAAGACGGTGAAACCCCATCTCTACTAAGAATACAAAAATTAGCCAGGTGTGGTGGTGGGTGCCTATAATCCCAGCTAATGGGGAGGCTGAGGCAGGAGAATCGCTTGAACCTGGGAGACGGAGGTTGCAGTGAGCTGAGATTGCACCACTGCACTCCAGCCTGGGCAATAGAGCAAGACCCTATCTCAAAAATAAAACAAAACGAACAATTTTAGAAATGTTTAATTATTTGGAATCCTGGAAAAAAAAGCTAAGGCAAAGCTGATCTGAAGAGTCTGTCTACCTGCCCAGCTACCAACCCAAACCGGCCTTGTTTTGGTCCTAGGCGGCGGTTCTTAAACTCTGGTCCCTGGACGTACGGCTTCCGGGTTGCCTGGGAACTGTTGCTAGAATTGCAAACTACTGGGCCCCAGCCTGGACCTACCAAGTCAAGAACTCTGGGATGGGGCCCAGGAATCCGCATTTAACCAGTCCTTCTGGTTATTCATCAGTTTGGAAACCGCAGGTCTTCAGCAAAACAAAACTCTGAGGCGGCGTTGGGTCCAGTCGTCGTCTCCTCAGCGAGTAAGGCAGCTTCAGGGGAAGGCCTGAGCCCCTTCTAAGAAAACACAGGCTGGATTTTAAAGGATCTCTAGGGCTAGTTTCCCCAGGTTCTGGGCCCCTGCCCTGTGTGAGCTCTAGTGGGGTCAGCAGCAAGGACCCATCACCGGAAGAGGCTTCTGAGAGGCACCGACTTTTGCCATCAGTGGGCAGCGAGTGGGCTGTGTGGTCCCCGGACAAGCAGCTGAGTGGGTGGGGAGTGCCTTGTTGTGGCCGGCTTCGCATAAGTCATCTGCGCCCGCCACCACGCCAGGCTAATTTTTATATTTTTAGTAGAGATGAGGTTTCTCCATGTTGGCCAGGCTGGTCTCGAACTCCTGACCTCAGGTGATCCGCCCGCCTCGGCCTCCCTCAGTACTGGGATTCCAGGCGTGAGCCACCGCGCCCAGCCCAGCCCGTCCTCTTGAACCTGCTCAGTTTCAGTCGTCATGACCACTTGTAATATCCCTTCCCACTAACATCAAAGGCTGTGGCCCGAAGCTCCCAAGTGGGCGAAAAAGTCCCGAGAGGTTCCAGAAGGCAAGATCATTCTGGGGCCACGAGGACCGAGAAACGACACAACCAACCACAGAACAGAAAACTCTTGTGGATCTGATGTGATTCTGTACTCCAGATTTGCAGTTACCACTTACAGAAGCCAACGTCCACCTCTGAAACACAGAACCCCCTAACTGGTGCGAGGCAGCTGAAGACAAAGTTGAGGCCTTTGGGAGAAGAGCTCGGCCAGAGGAGGAAATCTGATTAGTAAAAAGATAGGCAGCCAAGAAGTAAATTAAATGAATGCTCACAGAGAAAGCACTCGAGACAGGAGCGGGAGAGACTCCGGGCACACATCGCGACAGGGACAGAAAAGCTTTCAGGATGGGGGTGGGGGAAGGGGAAGAACTGGTTTTCTAATATTAGACTCACGACATGCTCACTTCCCAAATCCCAGCCAAAATGAGGGCCCCTTGACTCCGACAAGCCCAGGCCACCTTCTGCTTGGATACACACTTTCTGCACCAGGACTCTGCGTGAATGCCAAGGCAAATTCCATCCCTCTCAACTCCCCACCGCAACACCAAATGACTCACACAGCTTATCTTGAAATTCCCCCTTTCATCTTGGCCTCCCACTAACTTAAAACAATGCAATAAGAACACATTCAAGACACCTCCAGTAAATCCATATCCGTATTATTCACGAGGCACTAACTAGAAAGCTGTTTATCCTGAAGCCTACGTGGTCAACTTTAGAAATGTGCCTTCGTGTAAGCTGGTTTTTATAAAATAAATAAAAAGCCTCCACAAATACCAGAACACTTATCAATTTGGACTAAAGTCGTGGATTCCAATACAAGCAGCCAAGGTCCTCAAGCCTCAAGCATAAACATCCCTTGCCTTTTATTAATTGAAAAATAAACAGGAGGGGAAATGGGTGGCATGCCTCACTATGTGATTTAAAACAAATGACACGATGTTCTCAAACTTCAATTAATTTTTAAAAAGGCATTTTATTTTTCACTTTATGATTATAAAAGTCATACATGCAGACTATGGGGAAATTTAGAAAGTACAATAAGAAGGCCAGGCGCCGTGGCTCACGTCTGTAATCCCAGCACCCCGGGAGGCCGGGCGCGGTGGCTCACGCCTGTAATCCCAGCACTTTGGGAGGCTCAGGCAGGCGGATCACGAGGTCAGGAGATTGAGACCATCCTGGCTAACACGGTGAAACCCTGTCTCTACTAAAAATACAAAAAAATTAGCCGGGCGTGGTGGCGGGCACCTGTAGTCCCAGCTACTGGGGAGGCTGAGGCAGGAGAATTGCGTGAACCCGGGAGATGGAGCTTGCAGTGAGCCGAGATAGCACCACTGCACTCTAGCCTGGGCAACACAACGAGACTCTGTCTCAAAGAAAAAAAAAAAAAGTACAATAAGAAGAAAACTTACTTCTGGAAGTAAGAGAAGTATAGAAAGTCATTTCTGGAAAAGACGCTGAATTGGTGACTTACAGTCAAGAAATTCCCAAGTCTGGCCAAATTCCAACCCAAATTCTCGGCCAGGCACAGTGGCTCATGCCTGTAATCCCAGCACTTTGGGAGGCCAAGGTGGGTGGATCACCTGAGGTCAGGAGTTCGGGACCAGCCTGGCCAACACGGTGAAACCCCATCTCTACTAAAAATACAGAAATTAGCTGGTCGTGATGGCACGCACCTGTAATCCCAGCTACTTGGGAGGCTGAGGCAGGAGAATCGCTTGAACCCGGGAGGCGGAGGGTGCAGTGAGCCGAGATCGTGCTATTTCACTACAGCCTGGGTGACAGGAAGACGCCATCTCAAAAAAAAGAAAAGAAAGAACATTCTTTTAGCCCAGTCCCAAGCGGACTGTCTGGACAGAGTCCTCACTTGCTGCCACTCATTATTGCATCATTTTGCTGTGCTCTTTATTTTTTTTTATTTATTTATTGTTTTTTGAGATGGGGTCTCTCACCCTGTCTCCCAGGCTGGAGTGCAGTGGTGTGATCTCGGCTCACTGCAGCCTCCACTACCCAGGTTCAAGTGATTCTCCTGCCTCAGCCTCCTGAGTAGCTGGGATCACAGGTGCATGCACTACCACGCCCAGATAATTTTTGTGTTTTTACTAGAGACAGGGTTTTACCATGTTGGCCAGGATGGTCTCGAACTCCTGGCCTCAGGTGATCTGCCCACCTTGGCCTCCCAAAGTGCTGGAATTACAGGTGTGAGCCACCGCGCCCGGCCTTGCTGTGCTCTTTAAACAGCCGCAGGACTCTGCTCCAATTCCTTCGTATCTGGGAATCCTCTGGCACAAAACCCCCACCTCCTATATCATGTGGTCTGTGTGACAGCCAGAAACCCCCCAGCTGAAGAACACTGAGAAGTGGGAGGCTTCCGCTCGGTCATGGCCGGCGGGACAAGGAGATGCTTAAAGGTCTGGCAAGGTTGTAGGAAAAGACCAAGACACTTCAGGATCCAGCTTTAGGATGTGCTGGCGGCTGCAACAAACATGCACTCTGATCAATGAGCTCTGCGCTCATTCACTCCACACGTGTTTACTGAGCGTCTACTGTGTCTAAGACCCTGAGCTCTGCAGAACACGCCCAGGAATCACAGAAGGAGCTTGCTCTGAGAGCTGGGAGAGCCTGCTATTCATGCGGGTATTGACTGTTGCCATCCTGCAGAACAAAGCCAGCTTTCATAACATCCCACTAGATACCATGCCAGCCACATCCTTGCCTGGAATAAAACCTGCAGCCTAGGCCGGGCGCAGTGACTCACGCCTATAATCCCGGCACTTTGGGAGGTGGAGGCAGGTGGATCACCTGAGGTCGGGAGTTTAAGACCAGCCTGACCAACATGGTGAAACCCAGTCTCTACTAAAAATACAAAATTAGCTGGATGTGGTGGTGCATGCTTGTAATCCCAGCTACTCAGGAGGCTGAGGCAGGAGAATCGCTTGAACCCAGGAGGTGGAGGTTGCGGCGAGCCAAGATCGTGCCACTGCACTCCAGCCTGGGCAACAGGGCAAGATTCCATCTCAAAAAAAAAAAAAAAAAAAACCTCCAGCTCCTGCTTGTGCTTCCATCGATTGTCCTCCAAAAGATGGCTGGAGTGTGTCCCTCTCACCAGCACGCCACTCGATTCAACCTATGGACTCAAGACACGCCATCGGGCTCAATGCTGTGGGGCCTGGTGGAAGCAACCTCCTGTTGTTAGACCAGAAACGTCCCCTGCGACAAAGCCTTTGGTTTTGCTTTGTGTTCTTCTCCCGTGGGGTGGAAGAGCCGCCCTCCCTCTGAGGCACTGCAGCGACGGGTGCCCTGGTGAGTGTCCACGGTGAGGTGGTGAGTGTGCACCACACACAACCCGGCCAGCATCTGCCCAGGTCAAGCCCATCCTGTCAGTGCACACGCCGCGTGCTGCCACCACCCAGCTCGATGATTCTCTCCTTCCACACCTTCCGGTCCCCAAAAGTGACTGAAAGCAGGATTCTGCTGCGGAAAAACTGGACTTGGAGGAAGGGCAGGAGAGAAGGGCGAGGTGTGTCGGCCTGCCTCAGGTCTGGGGTGCCCAATTCTGGTTGTGCAAACAGTGAGGGAAAAAAAGGGTGCTACGATGTCTGGCTAAAACGGGGCATCAGAGCTGTCGGCGGTACCAGTTTTCAGAATCCATGGATTTATAACGGATTTCTTTTCTAACTTGCAAACGCATACGAGATACTTCACAGAGGTATTACAGTTAAGTCACACTTCCCCACATAAGCTCACCTTTAATGAAAAAGTTAAAATGACATAAAACTGGGAGTGTTCCAGAAAAGGCAGGCCTGTGTTCACCATCACAACACCTATGGATAGAAAAGAGGCAGAAAGGCCGGGTACGGTGGCTCACGCCTGTAATCCCAGCACTTTGGGAGGCTGAGGTGGGAGGATCAGCTTGACCCCAGGAGGCCGAGATTGCACAACCGCATTCCAGCCTGAGTGACACAGTGAGACTCTGCAGCCTTTACTGCAGCCTTTGCCTCCCGGGCTCAAGTGATCCTCCCACCTCGGTGTCCTGAGTGGCTGGGATTACAGGCACCCAGCACCACGCCCGGCTGATTTTTTGTATTTTTTGTAGAGATGGGGTTTCATCATGTTGGCCGGGCTGGTCTCAAACTACTGAGCTCGGGTGATCCGCCCGCCTCGGCCTCCCAAGGTGCTGGGTGCATTTTTTCTTAAGGAAGAAAAAGGAGGGCAGGGGGCAAGGTGCAGGGCAAAAAAGAAGAGCCCAGGAGTCCAAGAGGGAAGCGGCCAGAGGAAACGGAAGGAATCAGCTTCCAACAGGGACCCACAAGGCTGCTTGAGAACTCAGGACACAAGGAACACACCTGGAGAAGGGGGCTCTGCGGTGATCCGTACACAGTGAGAACCAAAGGGGCAGCTTCAGGGAAAACAGGTGGGGAGGGACAAAAGGAGGGAAAAGCCAAAACTCTCCGTCATCGAGAGGAACGCACACTTCTCCGAGGCTATTGCCGGTTCAAGCTCGTTTCCTTCAGAACACACCCCCAAAGTTCCTGGGGTCCCCCCACCGCCCTCCCCAACACACACACTCACTCCAATTTCACTCTTTTCTGCACAGATTCCAGGGAAGTATCCTGGAGACAGACATCAAAGGCATCCGAGCTGGCAGCCCACAACAGGTCACGCTGTCACGGGGACGCCGGGAACCACATGAAAAGCAGAGAATTCACGGGGCGTTCGATGATGATGATTATTTTTTAAGGAGCTCAGAAATGTCTTTCGTTTCAGTTTTAGTTTAAGGACAGCTACCTCTGGGGGAATGGCTTTGAAGTCACATAGCCCAGAGCAGCGCTCAGCAGCCACGAGGGAAGAAAAACGCTGCGCCCAGCGGAAAGGCCACAGGAGCCACGGGGCGCAGGGGCCGTCGCTGAAGAAGAACCCAGAAGGCTTCTGCTTTTGGTACAAGGACAGGAAGGAAGAGGAATGGCTGCAGCTGGGACCACATTTGAAAACCCACCAAGGCCAACCTTGCAATGGCCTTCTGCGTAGCAGCAAATACACAGAGGTTAAGGGGCAGAGGCCCCAGGAGAACCCTGTGAATATGCCTATTCGGAGGGGTCAGGGTCAGAGGACAAAAGAGGCCGGAGAGGAACAAGCTTTCCACTTGGGCGGTTTTACTGCTCCAGAAAGCAGTTTTTGAAAAGCACGAGATGATGGGAAGGCCCAGGTCGGCGGTTAGATCTAGAGCAGGCGGCAAGAGCTTGCCCTGATATGACAGCAAGTGAGCTGGCCACAAACACAGCTCACAGCTAGTGCGAAGGCCGAGCCAAAGAAAAGGTCCCCAGCCCGGCCGGGCGCGGCGGCTCACGCCTGTAATCCCAACACTTTGGGAGGCTGAGGCAGGCGGATCACGAGGTCAGGAGTTCGAGATCAGCCCAGCCAACATGGCGAAACCCCCGTCTCTACTAAAAAAATACAAAACTTAGCCGGGCTTAGTGACGAGCCCCTGTAGTCCCAGCTACTTGGGAGGCGGAGGCAGGAGAATCACTTGAACCTGGGGAGGCGGAGGTCGCAGTGAGCCGAGATTGCGCCACTGCACTCCAGCCTGGGTGACAGAGTGAGACACTGTCTCAAAAAACAAAACAAAAAACAAAAACAAAAAGAAAGAAAACAGGCAAAATCAAAAGAAAAATGATGAAAAAGAAGATAAAATTAAGAACAGAACAGGCTGGGCGCGGTGGCTCATGCCTGTAATCCCAGCACTTTGGTAGGCCGAGGCGGGCGGATCACTTGAGGCCAGGGGTTCAAGACCAGCCTGGCCAACATGGCAAAACCCCGTCTCTACTAAAAATTAGCTGGGTGTGGTGGCGGGCTCCTGTAATCCCAGCTACACGGGACGCTGAGGCAGGAGAATTGCTTGAGCCTGGGAGGCAGAGACTGCAGTGAGCCAAGATCTCACCGCTGCACTCCAGCCTGGGCGACAAGGGTGAGACTCCCTCTCAAAAAAAAAAGAAAGAAAGAAAAGAACAAATGAAAGGAAAATGAGAGCTAAAAATATAACAGAATCTTTGACCTAGCAATTCCTCTTCTAGGAATTTATCCTTAGAGAACCACCAAAGATGTGCACAGAGAAGAATATAAAAACAAGTTTATAACAGCGCTGGTTATTCCAGCAAAATCTGGAACTGGCCTACATTTCCTATCATAGGAAACTGGAAACTATTAAATATGGTACATATATACACATAGACAGATAGATACAGCAAAATACCACGTAACTATTAGAAATCAGCTTTTTTTTTTTTTTTTTGAGACAAGAGTTTCACTCTTGTCACCCAGGCTGGAGTGCAGTGGCACCATCTTGGCTCACTGCAATCTCTGCCTCGCAGGTTCAAGTGATTCTCCTGCCTTATCCTCCCCAGTAGCAGGGATTACAGGTGCCCGCCACCACGCCTAATTAATTCCTATATTTTTAGTAGAGATGGGGTTTCACCATGTTGGCCAGGCTGGTCTCAAACTCCTGACCTCAGGTGATCCTCCCACCTTGGCCTCCCAAAGTGCTGGGATTACAGGCGTGAGCCACCGCGCCTGGCCAGAGATCATCTTTTTAAAGAATACGTTCTTACATGAAAATACACTCAAAATACATCCTAATTGTGTAAGACACACACGTACGTGCCTACATAGGAAAAGACAAGGCTGCCTTGTGATGTCGGAACATCCATGCTTCTAGCTAGGGGGTCTGCAGGAGACTGATCCCCCACATGCTTTTTTTGTATTCGATGATCCATTATTACTTTTTAAAAAATATAATTTGCAGGCATGAGCAACACTGTGGCGGGCCCTGCAGTGGGGCAGGGAGAGTGCAGTCAACTCCCGCTTCCAGTATTACCTTTTTTTTCTTATTTTTTTTTTGCTGTCATCCAGGCTGGAGTGCAGTGGTGTGATCATGGCTCACTGTAGCCTCAAACTGCCGGGATCAAGTGATCCTCCCACCTCAGCCTCCTGAGTAGCCGGGACCACAGGCACAGGCCACCACGCCAGCTAACTAATTTTTGTATTTTTTTGGTAGAGATCGAGGTGGGGGGGTCTCAGTATGTTCCCCAGGCTGGCCTCAGGTGATCCTCCCACTTCTGCCTCCCAAAGTGCTGGAATTACAGGCATGAGCCACTGTGCCTGGCCTCAATTTTTTTTTTTTTTTGGTCTCTTTCTCCCCCTTTTTGTGGATTATAGGGTTTCGCTATGTTGCCTAGGCAGGTCTCAAACTCCTGGGCTCAAGCTATCTTCCCATCTCTGTCTCCTTAAGCGCTGGGATTACAGGCGTGAGCCATTGCACCTGGCCTCAATATTACTTTTAAAAGAGGAAACTATCCCAATAGATGTTTTGGTAAAAAGAAGGAAAAAGGGCCGTGGGCAACTTCCAAACGCAATGTCTCTGTTAAAAATCAATTCCACTGAGGTCAAAAGCCCCTAACGAAGACATCACCCAGACCCTTTCACCACTCAGAACCAGGTACGGACGGCATGCCTCATCTCACAACAGCCCAGCGGGCTTTGCAGGACCCTTAAAAACAAGATTCCAGGGCACAGCCATGAACTCACATCACACCTTCCTGGATTTACAGTGAACAAGATTCCAGGGTGCAGCCATGAATTCACCAAACACCTTCCTGGATTTACAGTGAACAAGATTCCAGGGCGCAGCCATGAATTCAGATCACATCTCCCTGGATTTCCAGTGAAATAGATTCCAGGGTGCAGCTATGAACTCACATCACACCTTCCTGGATTTACAGTGAACAAGATTCCAGGGTGCAGCCATGAATTCACCAAACACCTTCCTGGATTTACAGTGAACAAGATTCCAGGGTGCAGCCATGAACTCACATCACACCTTCCTGGATTTACAGTGAACAAGATTCCAGGGTGCAGCCATGAACTCACATCACACCTTCCTGGATTTACAGTGAACAAGATTCCAGGGTGCAGCCATGAATTCACCAAACACCTCCCTGGATTTCCAGCGAACAAGATTCCAGGGTGCAGCCATGAACTCACATCACACCTTCCTGGATTTACAGTGAACAAGATTCCAGGGTGCAGCCATGAACTCACATCACACCTTCCTGGATTTACAGTGAACAAGATTCCAGGGTGCAGCCATGAATTCACCAAACACCTTCCTGGATTTACAGTGAACAAGATTCCAGGGTGCAGCCATGAATTCACCAAACACCTTCCTGGATTTACAGCGAACAAGATTCCAGGGCGCAGCCATGAATTCACCACACACCTCCCTGGATTTACAGTGAACAAGATTCCAGGGTGCAGCCATGAATTCACCAAACACCTCCCTGGATTTACAGCGAACAAGATTCCAGGGCGCAGCCATGAACTCACATCACACCTTCCTGGATTTACAGTGAACAAGATTCCAGGGTGCAGCCATGAATTCACCAAACACCTCCCTGGATTTACAGTGAACAAGATTCCAGGGTGCAGCCATGAACTCACATCACACCTTCCTGGATTTACAGCGAACAAGATTCCAGGGTGCAGCCATGAATTCACCAAACACCTCCCTGGATTTACAGCGAACAAGATTCCAGGGCACAGCCATGAACTCACATCACACCTTCCTGGATTTACAGTGAACAAGATTCCAGGGTGCAGCCATGAATTCACCAAACACCTCCCTGGATTTACAGCGAACAAGATTCCAGGGTGCAGCCATGAACTCACATCACACCTTCCTGGATTTACAGTGAACAAGATTCCAGGGTGCAGCCATGAATTCACCAAACACCTCCCTGGATTTACAGCGAACAAGATTCCAGGGCGCAGCCATGAACTCACATCACACCTTCCTGGATTTACAGCGAACAAGATTCCAGGGTGCAGCCATGAATTCACCAAACACCTCCCTGGATTTCCAGTGAACAAGATTCCAGGGTGCAGCCATGAACTCACATCACACCTTCCTGGATTTACAGTGAACAAGATTCCAGGGTGCAGCCATGAATTCACCAAACACCTTCCTGGATTTACAGTGAACAAGATTCCAGGGTGCAGCCATGAATTCACCAAACACCTTCCTGGATTTACAGCGAACAAGATTCCAGGGCGCAGCCATGAATTCACCACACACCTCCCTGGATTTACAGTGAACAAGATTCCAGGGTGCAGCCATGAACTCACATCACACCTTCCTGGATTTACAGTGAACAAGATTCCAGGGTGCAGCCATGAATTCACCAAACACCTCCCTGGATTTACAGTGAACAAGATTCCAGGGTGCAGCCATGAACTCACATCACACCTTCCTGGATTTACAGTGAACAAGATTCCAGGGTGCAGCCATGAATTCACCACACACCTTCCTGGATTTACAGTGAACAAGATTCCAGGGTGCAGCCATGAATTCACCAAACACCTCCCTGGATTTACAGCGAACAAGATTCCAGGGCGCAGCCATGAACTCACATCACACCTTCCTGGATTTACGGTGAACAAGATTCCAGGGTGCAGCCATGAATTCACCAAACACCTTCCTGGATTTCCAGTGAACAAGATTCCAGGGTGCAGCCATGAACTCACATCACACCTTCCTGGATTTACAGCGAACAAGATTCCAGGGCGCAGCCATGAACTCACATCACACCTTCCTGGATTTACAGTGAACAAGATTCCAGGGTGCAGCCATGAATTCACCAAACACCTCCCTGGATTTACAGTGAACAAGATTCCAGGGTGCAGCCATGAACTCACATCACACCTTCCTGGATTTACAGTGAACAAGATTCCAGGGTGCAGCCATGAATTCACCAAACACCTCCCTGGATTTACAGTGAACAAGATTCCAGGGTGCAGCCATGAACTCACATCACACCTTCCTGGATTTACAGTGAACAAGATTCCAGGGTGCAGCCATGAACTCACATCACACCTTCCTGGATTTACAGTGAACAAGATTCCAGGGTGCAGCCATGAATTCACCAAACACCTCCCTGGATTTACAGTGGGGTGGCCCGGCACTAGACCCTCCTCCCTTCCCTGCACCAACATACTTCATCGTTTTAAAATAACCGTCGGTTTCTTAAGGTAAATATTAATGTTAGCCCCTGCGCAGGCATCATCATTCTCTCTCTCGACTAAAATGTTTGTGAACTTTAAATCTGTCAACTGAGGTGCTTGTCCTGCATGAAGTTACCCAGCGAACCACCGACTCCCAGCTCTGTATGAACTACCCAGGTTCGAGGACCTCCAGAGAAAGGTCACCAACAGGGAAAGGAGGCTCCACGGAGGTCGACTGGCCAGAGGGTTCTAAGGTCACAGAGGGAAGGCCCAGAGAGGCCCCGAGTGATGACCTCAAGCACGTCTGTTCCCCACGTGCCGTAACTTTCTAAGTTACTCTGCCCAGCCTTGAGATCCCAAAAAAAAGTAACATCTGGTCATTAAATCATATCTTTCTTCAAAAGAATATTACCGGGCTGGGCACAGTGGCTCACGCCTGTAATCCCAGCAGTTTGGGAGGCTGAGGCAGGCGGATCACTTGAGGCCAGGAGTTCAAAACCAGCCTGGCCAACATGGTGAAACCCCGTCTGTACTAAAAATATAAAAATTAACCGGGCTTGGTGATGCACGCCTGTAATCCCAGCTACGACTCGGGGGGCTGAGACAGGAGAACTGCTTGAACCCAGGAGGCGGAGGTTGCAGGGAGCCGAGATCGCGCCACTGCACTCCAGCCTGAGTGACAGAGTATGACTCCGTCTCTAAAAAAGGAAAAAAAAATGGTGAAGACAGTAAATTATGTTATGTATATTCTACCACAATTCTTAAAATAATGTTTTTTAAAAGTTGTTTAACTCGACAATCCTTCTCCTAAAAAAAAAATAACAATATTTGGCCGGGCACGGTGGCTCACGCCTGTAATCCCAGCACTTTGGGAGGCCAAGGTGGGTGGATCACCTGAGGTCAGGGGTTCGAGACCAGCCTGGCCAACATGACGAAACCCCGTCTCTACTAAAAATACAAAATATTAGCTGGGTGTGGTGACGGGTGCCTGTAATCCCAGCTACTCGGGAGGCTGAGACAGGAGAATTGCTTGAACCCAGGAGGCAGAGGTTGCAGTGAGCCGAGATGGCGCCACTGCACTCCAGCCTGGAAAACAAGAGCGAAACTCCATCTCAGAAAAAAATAAAAAAATAAAAAATACCAGCTACGCAGCCTGTTTATTAAGCTTCCATAATGAGAGCTTCCAATCCAGGTGATTTGTGTTCCTGTCTCGTCCATATTGGCCCCAAACTCCAAGATCAAATACGCTTCTCTGACTTCAAAGCTGAAGGTTTCCGCAGGTCCGTACCCCCGTCCGAGGACTGCCTCCAACTGGAGCTGTTTTCCCAGTCGGCTGCAAAGGCCCTGCGCTGTGTTCACCAAGCGTGGGGCTCCCTCTCAGCTGAGCAGATGGCAAAGGGGCAAATGTAAGGTAGATTCTGTTTGTTTATTTGTGGCAAATAGCTCTGAAGGACCAGCCCTTTTTTCCTCTCATCTCTGGCAAATCATTCAGTTCTGAAAAAGTTCCTTGGCCAGCAAGCCAGCCGGTAGGAGGAGGGCGGAGAAAACCAGAAAGGGGAAGAAACTCCTTCCTCATCTCCACCTCAAAAACACCAAGCTTTGTTTTGGGATTCCAGTGAGTTTGTATCCCTCACTCTTGGAAATTAAACCGGTAGAAAAATCCAGAAAAACTTGGGCAGAGGTCAAAAATTGTTAAATCGTGGCCAACGGGGTCAGTGTTTTCTTTCAAGCAGGGGCCACACTGAGGGAAGATTTAAAAACCAACAATAACAAACCGTGGAACACCTACGAACTGTGAAACACACCGAGAAGAGAAAACTGGGTACATAATGGATTTTTCTAAAATGGGGTAGGATTTTCTAAAAAGGGCTCCGCAGAGGAGAATTCTCACAAGGGTTGCCTCCGTCATCAACATGCCAGGCAAGTGCATGGAGGATGGTGGGCAGCAAGTATTTCTCTTTATTTTTTATTTTTGAGACGGAGTCTCGCTCTGTGGCCCAGGCTGGAGTGCAGCGGCACAGTCTCGGCTCACTGTAACCTCCGCCTCCCGGGTTCAAGCAATTCTCCTGCCTCAGCCTCCCGAGTAGCTGGGACTACAGGCGCCCGCCACCACGCCCGGCTAATTTTTGTATTTTTGGTAGAGACGAGGTTTCACCATGTTGGCCAGGCTGGTCTCCAACTCCTGACCTCAGGTGATCCACTCGCCTCGGCGTCCTAAAGCAGTGGGATTCCAAGTGTGAGCCACTGTGCCCTGCCCCCAAGTGGATCTTAAAAACAACCCTGGGGAATAGATAAGAGTTTCCCCCATCCTGGCTAACATGGTGAAACCCCGTCTCTACTAAAAATACGAAAAAAATTAGCCGGGCGTGGTGGCGGGCGCCTGTAGTCCCACCTACTTGGGAGGCTGAGGCAGGAGAATGGCGTGAACCCGGGAGGCAGAGCTTGCCGTGAGCCGAGATCGTGCCACTGCACTCCAGCCTGGGCGAGAGAGTGACTCCGTCTCAAAAAAAAAAAAAAAAAAAGTGTTTCCC